>NC_000011.10:33847878-33999393 GCF_000001405.40 Homo sapiens
GAGTTTTTTCTTTTCTCAGTAACTCATTTCCCCTGATTACACTAAGCAAGTAAAACATTAGAGAACACAGCAAATTGTGTTGCAATAAACAACTAAGACAATATTGCTTCAACAAAAATCCTGCACAAGATGGTTAAAAAAGTCCCTATTATTAGTAGTAATAATAAAAACTTTTTTTAGTGCCAACGAAGTCATTTTAGCTACCTTTGAAATATATCTGCAACCTGTTGACATAGTTTGGATCTGTTTCCTCACCCAAATCTCTTGTTCAATTGCAAACCCCACTGTCGGAGGTCACGCCTGGTGGGAGGTGATTGGATCATGGGGGCGCTTCCTTCATGAATGGTTTGGCACCACCACTTTGGTGTTGATCTCGTGATAGAGTTCTCACAAGATCTGGTTGTTTAGAAGTGTATAGCACCTCCCCGCCACCTTCCTCCTGCTCTGGCCATGTGAAATGCCTCGCTTCCCTTTCACCTTCCGCCATGAGTAAAAGCTCCCTGAGGCCTCCCCAGAAGCAGATGCCACCACACTTCCTGTACATCCTGCTGAACTGTGAGCCAATTAAGTCTCTTTTCTTTATAAGTTACTCAGTCTCAAGTATTTCCTTATAACAATGCAAAAATGGCCGAATACACTTGCCTACTTTTCTCTATCCCCATTTTAACACCTTAATCCAAGCCACCATCATCTCTCACCTGGATCATGCAACAGCCTCCCAGCTCGTCTCTCTAGGGTCCTCCATGCACACACAGAGTGATCTTTCAACACACTAATCAGAGTATGTATGTCACTCTCCTGCTTAAAAGATTCCAAAGTCTTGCCACTGCAGTTAGAATAAAATCTGAGCTCATCTTCAGCCTTGTAAGATCCTACATGATTTGGTCTCATGTATCACCTTTCCTCCAGCTACTTTGGACTTCTTGATGTTCTTTAAGCTCGACAAGTGGGTTCTTGACTTAAGACTTTCACTTGCCTGTTTCTTCTGTTTCTGAATGTATGACTGAATCTTTCCTGACATTCGGTCCTAGCTCAAAGCCACTGCCTCACAAAGGCTTTCCCTGACCACGCCCTCCCTCCTCTAAAACGACATCTCTCTGCATCTCTTGACATTCTATCGCATTGCTCTATTTTATCCTAATTCATTGATCACTTTCTGAAATAAATTTGTTCATTTACTTGTGTATTTATTTATTTTGTTTCCTCCCACTAGAATGTAAGTGCTGTGGTAACAGGGACCTTGCTATCTTGCTCACCACTGTATTTCCATTGCCAAGAACAGTGCCTGGCCTTTTGGAAACGCTCAATACATATTTATTGAATGCATGCATGCATGAATGCCAGCAACTGTTCTCATTGCTTCATGTAGACTACCCATAACTTTTACAATGATATGCTAATGTAAGTATATTATCTTCATTTACAAATGAGAAGACTAACTAGAACCACATCCATTTGTCTCCAAAGATGACTCTTATACATTTACACTCCCTCCCATTTTGTTAGGTAACATTAAATGCAATGAAAACATTTATTGTTGGCAAATGCTTTTAACACTTGGTTTACATTGGCTATATTAATATTTTTGTTTTACACAGGGTCTTACTATGTCATCCAGGCTGTAATGTAGTGACACAATCTTGGCTCACTGCAGCCTTGACCTCTCAGGCTTAAGCTATCTTCCCACCTCAGCCTCCCCTCCCCCCAGTCCCTCAAGTAGCTGGGACCACAGGTGTGTGCCACCAGGCCCGGCTAATTATTTTATTTTATTTTTTGTTTATTTATTTTTTTTTTTTTTTGAGACGGAGTCTTTCTCTGTTGCCCAGGCTGGAGTTCAGTGGCACAATCTCAGCTCACTGCAACCTCTGCTGCCGGAGTTCAAGCGAATCTCCTGCCTCAGCCTCCTGAGTAACTGGGATTACAGGCATGTGCCACTATGCCTGGCTAATTTTTGTATTTTTAGTAGAGACAGGGTTTCAGCATCCTGGCCAGGCTGGTCTTGGACTCTTGACCTCGTGATCCACCCCTCTCGGCCACCCAAAGCGCTGGGATTATAGGCATGAGCCACCGCACCCAGCCCTTGTTTTATTTTTTATAGAGACAGGGTTCTTGCTATGTTTCCCAGGCTCATCTTGAACTCTTGGGCTCAAGCAATCCCTCCACCTCAGCCTCCCAAAGTGCTGGAATTACAGGCATGAGCCAGCGCACCTGGCCTAGGATTTGAATTCTGTCTCTTTTTCCTTAAAATAAGTGAGAAAGTAATTTCCAGCAGTCTGAAAATATATATATGTTATTTGGTTCTATAAAATTAAGTTTTGGGAGATAAACAAATTAATGAAGCTAGAGGCAATATAGTCTAGAATGAGATGACCTCGATGAATTAAAGTCTTGACTTTATCCCAAGCTTCAGTTTCCTCTTCTGTAAAATTAAGATAGAAATATTTGCTGTGTAGAGTTGGTGTAAAGACCATAAAATACTTAGGATAGTGCATCTACCTGGCAAATGCTCAATAAAAGTCATGTTTAATAACATTAATGGTGATAATGCTGCCAAGAATTAGAATTTTATTGCTAGAAAACTGTAAGAGACAAGTTATTCACTCAGTGAGAGGATGGGCTGGATAATTTCAAAAACTTTTTCAGCCTTCATCTAAGATTGTATTATTCTGATCAGCGCTTTTCGAACTCTGGAGTTTTTAACTTTCAATCTACCATGGATTGACACTTTTGTACAATATAATAAAAAGTGGATGACTGGGAAAATAAGAATTTAAAAATGCATACAAAATAAAAGCTTATTGTATAACAAATTGCCCCAAAACTCAGTGGCTTAAAACAACAATTATTTATCTTGTATCACTTCTGTAGGGCAGAAATTGAAGAACAGCTTGGTTGACTGATTCCAGCTTGGGGGTTTCTCACGAGGTTATATTCAAGATATAAGCTGGGACTGCAGTTGTCTGAGGCTTTGACTGGGCCAGAGGCTCTGCTTTCAAGGTGGCTCATTTATAAGATGGGCAGATGAGTGCTGGCTGGTGGCAGGAGGCCTCAGTTCCTCTTCACCACATGGAGCTCCATGTAGAGCTGTCTGAACAGCTTCAAGGCATGACAGCTGTTTTTTTGTTTTTGTTTTTGTTTTTGTTTTTTTTTCTCCAGAACAAGTGATCCAAGAGACAGCAAGGTGGAAGCAACAGTCTGGATCTAGCCTCAGAAGTCACATTCCATCATTTCAATATCCTATTGGTTAGACAAGTTAGCCCTATTCCATGTGAATGGAGACAACACAGGAGGTGAAGCCAGGAAACAAGAATCACTAGGGTCACCTTGGGGAGTGGCTACCACAAATGCTTCCTCCCAAATTCCATACTTACCTGTCTGTAAACCAAAGTCTGACTACCAAATTCCTAGAGATCATCTACTGTAAGCTCCTCAGTTTGCAAATGAGGAAACTGAGACCTACCTAAAGACACTCCACTAATTAGTGGCAAAATCAGGTTTCCTGATTTCAGTGTTCTTTCAATCACATCACATAGGCTATTTTACCTACTATATATCTATTTTGCCTGGGATGTAGTTACGGGGGGCATTTGCCTTGAGCTGCTCATTAAGTGATTTGAATGAATGGGGTGGGGTGGGGAGGCTGACACAGAGATACGGCTGTGGGTTTGCTGAGGCTCACAACAAAGCCATCTTTAAAGTGGTCATCAAATAGGATAATTCAGTGAGCCCAGTTCAAAAGCATCACAATGTGACAATGGAAATTGACTTGATTTAGCTTCAAAGATTCTATTAACTCGGAGAAATGATTTTCCGGGAGAATTAATACATGGCCACTGGTAGAGAATGGATGTGACTTCTTCATTGCTTTGAAACATCTTTTAACTCAATTCTTAGATGTACATACAAAACATTATAGCTTAGATTCCTACCCCTATAATATACACATTTCAGGGCCAGATGATTACATCTTGATCCTAATTACAAAGGAAATGCAGAATTTCTGGTAATCTCATTTTATAAGGTTGAGAAATAACCTGCTTCAGAAATAAGCACTAAGTGAACCCTTCTAAACACATTCTTCCCATTATGGGGAGTGGGTGTGGAGAGGGGAATTACTTGCTTGAGGTACATTTGTAAGGTCAAAAGTACATTAAAGTTGTGACAAATGAACAGTAGTACATTACTGAATTCTACACTATATTTTTTCCTCTCTTTATCTGCCTTGTTCTTCTCCTAATCAAACCAAAAAGCCCAAAACAAGAAAAAGCCGAGATTTGTGAGTTAAAAAAAAATACCTTTTTATTTGGAAATAGTTTCAAACTTACAGAAAAGTTGCAAGAATAAAAATAGTGTACCAGTACATCCTTTACCTAGACTCACCTGTTGTTAATATGTTCATCTCATTTGCTTTATCATTTCTCCTCTCTCCTCTCTCTCTCTCTCCCTCTCTTGAAACACACACACACACACATACACACACACACACACAGAGACAACTTTTTTCTCAACTATTTAAGTTACATATATAATGGCTCTTTGATGCAGGAGTTTTTCTCCACCCCTTCATCAGACTTGCGATAGGCGTGCCCTGTTCACTCGGCCCGCCATGCTCAAGCTCTTCTTGCGAGGAACGCGTGGGTGAACAAGTGCAGGATCTGGCCGGCTGCTTTGGGCAGCGGCAAGAGTAGGCTCCCTGCAGGCCCTGCAGCAGTGCCCAGGTGGGAATGCCTGTGACCCCCAAAGCCCCAGAGGGCATGTTACAATGCTCTCTTAGCTCCGGTGTCTGTGGACAGTGGTGTGTTGTCAGCTCAGTGGGCCTCTCGCCTCATCGCATGGGGAGGCTGCCCTCCACCAGTGAGGGCAAAGGGCCAGTGTGACAGCCTTTTTTGGGTACCATCACTCAGTGGGTCCCGAGCTCTTGTTCAGCATCCAAGAAGAATGAGGTCGCACAGATACTTGAAGGATGGTGGAGGTGGAGAATTGTATTTATTGATGGAGATGGCTCTCAGTGGAGAGGGGAGCTGGAGAGGGGACGGGACAAGCAGATAATCTTCCCTGAGATCTGGCGTTCTCCAGCCGGCTCTTCTCTGAAGTTAATCTCTCCTCTGAAGTCCAGCTCTCCCTCTGAAGTCAAGTCGCCTCTCTCCAGTCAAGCTGCTTCTCTCCTCTACCGACTGAGTCTGGGGTCTATATAGGCACAGGATGGCGGGGGGTGGAGTGGGCCATAGGTAGTTTTAGAGAAGGCAACATTGGATTGGTAAAAAGACATTAATCAGAAAGAATCAATGGGGAGAGAGTGGGCAAACAGGGATAGAAGTTCTCACTTTGGGCAGAGGGTTGCAGGGTTTTTGGCTGGAAGGTGGGGTTTTGCCAGGGACCCACCCCTGTCTGCCTAGAATTTCTCTTCTTCCTGCCTCTATCACTTTACTCCTAAATATTTCAGGGTGCATTTCCTAATAATAGGGACATTCTCTTACATAAACACAGTACAATTACCAATTTCAGTAACATTTACATTAACACCTAATACTTTTTAACTAATCTATCCGTTCATATTCTGACTTTATCACTTGACCCAATGATGCCCTTTGTAGAATTTGTTCCCTCCAGCACTGGACTGAGTACAGGGGCCAGGTGCTGGATTTAGCTGTCAGGTCTCCTTAGCCTTCTTTAACCTGAAACATTCCCACAGCCTTCTTTATTATTCATGACATGAACATTTTCAAAGAATACAGTCCACACTCCCCCCCATCAACTTTTAAAACTAGAATGTTCATCATTTTGGGTTTGTCTAATGATTTGTCTCATAATTAGACATGTTATATATTCTCAGCAGAACTACTAAAAAGAGTGATCCTCTCTGTCCTTTTCAGATATCACATCTGGAGGCCTGAGATGCTCATCTGCCCCACATAGATCACCTGGTCAAGGTGCTATCCAATTTCTCTACTGTGTAATTAGCGTTTTTCCTTCTCATAGCTAGTGAGGAATATATGGGAAGGTACTTGAAGACCATCCAAATATCCATATCTTGTTCTTTGTTTCTCTGTTGAAATTTAGCATCTATTGATAATGCTTGCTTGATTCTATCTTAACTGTCACAGTTGCAAAATGATTTTTCCAGCTCTCATGCTGTCTTCCCATTTACCAGTTGGCATCCAAGATTCTGCTGTAAACACGAGTCCTTCCTTCTCCCTCATTTATTTATCACTGGAATAAACTCATGAATTCTGCCCCCTGCCATGCTTAAAACTCATTACTATCCTTAATTCGTTACTGTCCTTAATTGTTTTGATAATCAAATTGTCTTAGATTTGGCTATTGAGAGCCCCTTTAAGCTGGCTCCTTTGTCTTTATGACATGTTTACATCATTTTTTTCATTTCATTTCATTTATTTATTTAGTTTTTACTATTTCCTTACTTTCTGGAATAACAAGATGTTGCAGACTTATCTTCTATCTTCCTTGCCCCTTCCCTGCAAATTCCTGGGTTTTACTTCCTACTTTGATGTTGATTTACCATTTATTCTTAAAATTATAGAAAACCTCATCTCCCCTATTTATTTACTTACTGGCCCTCTCTCTTAGCTACTCATGCCATAAATATTTGTTCCTGCTTTTCCACATGCATGACATTGGCCTAAATGCTGTGAGCGATGATAAAGAACTTAAAGGCTAGTTTCAGAAAAGGCCTTCTTCTCAAATCAAGTTTTAAAGTAGAGAATAGGTGGGGCGCAGCGGCTCATGCCTGTAATCCCAGCACTTTGGGAGGTCGAGGTGGGCGGATCACCTGAGGTCAGAAGTTCGAGACCAGCCTGGTGAAACCCTGTCTTTACAAAAATTAACCTAGTGTGGTGGTGCATGCCTGTCATCCCAGCTAGTCGGGAGGCTGAGGCAGAAGAATCTCTTGAACCCAGGAGGTGGAGGTTGCAGTGAGCCAAGATCATGCCACTGCACTCCAGGCTGGGCCACAGACTGAGACTCCATCTCAAAAAAAAAAAAAGAAAGAAAGAAAGAAAGAAAAAAGCAGAGAACAAAGTTTTAAATAAAACAAAGAAAATATAACAATCAGGCTGGGCATGGTGGCTCAAACCTGTAATCCCAACACTTTGGGAGACTGAGGCAAGAGGATTGCTTGAGCCCAGGAGTTCAAAACCAGCCTGGGAGACAGAGCAAGACCCTGTCTCTAAAAAAAAAAAAAAAAAGAGGAGGAAAGAAAGGGAGAAAGAGAGAGGGAAGGGAAGGGGGGGAAGGAAGAGAAGGAAAGGAAGAAAAGGGAAGGAAGGAGGAAGAACGGAAGGAGGAAGGAACAAAGGAAGGAAGGAAATATATTGGGCACTATGTGCCAGGCAGGTGCTACAGTCTGGCAAGGGTAAACCAGAGACAGTGTCCCTGATTTTGTGGAACTCAGGGTTCAGGGTTTAGCAGCAATGTTCTATTGAAGTCAGGGGACAACAAAGGAAGAGGAGTTGCTTGATGAATGTGTAGATTCCTGGGTCCCATCCAAGAGATCCTGATTCTGTAGATTTGCAGTTTGGTCCAGGAGCCAGCATATTAATAGTTTATCCTATTAATTAGAAGATTTCTAGTACTTGAGAATGATTGGATGAGCAGCTGTAAATTGGAGAGATTGAGGGGGCTACCTGGAAGAGGCGGGGCTTGAGCTGAGGGTCCAAGGTCAAGTCACAGGTCAGCAATGTCCACAGGGCCCAGATCTTGTAGAAACTGGCAATTAAGGGCACCCCACCAGAAAGTGACAGCATCAAAATTTAAACCCTTCACTGGCTGGCCTCCAGCCAACACCCATACACAAACTGGGCTCACTGAAATACTCATGCTGCAAGTCAAGGTCCCCAAGTCTTTGCTCTTCCAGGTCCAAGGCCATTTCAAATGTCTCTTTCTCTTTACTCCAGACAGATATGCTTGGGCCAATTTAATTGTTCCCTTATCTGCGTTTCCAGAGCACTTTTTACATTGCTTTATTGTGGTGCTAATCCTATATCATTGTGCTTTGTTTACATTTCTGCCTAAACTCAAATATCCCCAAATAATCTGGGACGGAAGGTGTTCATTCTCCCTCTTTTGCAGATGGGAAACCTGCTGTTCAGTGAGGTGAGACTTCGAGAGAGCAGCAGGGCACAGGGTGAAGCGCCTTGGTTAAAGCGACTGCTGTCACTTCTCAGCTGCAGGACCTTAGGAAGTTAGTTACTTAACCATCTGTGCTTCATTTTCCTTGGCAGCACAATGCAGGTGATAAGAAGTAGAAACTGCCACCGAGGCAGGTTATGTGGCCTCAAGGAGTTAATGTATGTAAAACTAGAAGAGTGCCTGGCAAATGGTAAGTGCTATGTAAATGGTTATTAAGCAATTAAAGTCATGTCCACTGGAATTCAAATCCAAGTCTTCAGATGATAAATCTCCTAGATGCTTGTTCTATTTTAACTTTGTAGGACTCCAAGTTTTCCTGAAAAGTAGTAGTTATTTTAGAAGCAGCAATAAAAGGAAGCTGGTTTGGGGCAAAAGACATTCAAGAGATAAGAGGATGCAAAATGTTCCAGCCAACTGCTTTAATGAAGGCACGGACCAGGGAAGAGAGCAGATGTCAGTTCTCCTGACCCTAGGTCTAGAGCACACACAGTAACACATTCATGCAAGGACCACCAGGGTAGACCTTGGGAGCTGGTCCCACTGAGTCCCTTTACATGTCTTTCCTCTTAAGTCAGTTGTGGGTTAGATATTTGGGCCCCTGGGGTGACGTGCTACAAAGACTGCCTGCGCATCCACAATTCTGCAAGATGGTGCCATTGACAAATGGAAAAGGTTAATTATTGCTTTGTTGAGCATGACAAAAATATTGGCTGATTTCTTGAATCTTAATGTGTGTTGTGCTACAATGGGGATTAAGAATAAAGTTTAGATTTCCAAAGCAATGATCATTTGTATTTTTACTTAATACTGCTTATAAGATAATTGCATAGATAAAATCTATTACCATTACTATTATTACTGTAAATATGGTTTAAAATGGTGAATTAAATTGTGATTGATTTTGAAGATGATGTGCAGAACAAATGAGTGATGAATGTATGTGAAAGTTTTCAGTTTAGGAACCAAGGGTAGACAGTATCTACATGTGGAAGAGTTTCAGTGATTAACCTTTGCATCAAATATTAATAACTTAGAATGCTTGATCTTCCTAACTGGGAGATATTTTAGAATAGCCATTCTCAAACTTGAGCATGCGTCAGAATCATCTTTAAGGCATATTAAAACACAGGTGGGGCACGGTGGCTCATGTCTATAACCCAACACTTTGGGAGGCCAATGCAGGTGGATTACTTGAGTCCAGGAGTTCAAGACCAGCCTGAGCAACATGGGGAAACCCAATCTCTACCAAAAAGATAAAAATTAGCTGGGCGTGGTGGTGTGAGCCTGTAGTCTCAGCTACTACAGAGGCTGAGGTGGGAGGATTGCTTGAGCCCAAGAAGTCAAGGCTGCAGCGAGCCAGGATCATAACACTGCACTCCAGCCTGGGGGACAGAGAGAGATCTTGTCTCAAAACAAAGAAACAAACAAACAACCCACAAATTGCTGAACCCCATCCCCAGATTTTCTGATTTAGGGTATCTGGGGTGGGGCCCATGAATCTGTTTCTTTATTATAATAAGTTACCAGGTGATGTTGATTCTGCTGGTCCCCAGAGAGTTTGAGAACCACTGACTTAGAACAAACATCCCCTCGCTGGTAATGCCTTTCCATCACCTGAGCTGGAATGCAATGTAACTGGATTTGTTTTAAATAGGCCACCTTAAGCAGTCAAATTTCCCAACTACTTGTAGCATTTTACAGACCAAGAGAGCCATCACTTCATTATTTCTCCTCTAGAAGAAAAAAAATCATTTGTCTCTCTGTCCAGGGATTTAAAAAAATTAAAAATAACAAAGATCACAAACCTTAGGAAGATTTAAAGGAATCTTATAGTTAACATGCAGCCTTAGCTGCATGTTTCTTGTGTCTTAATAACTGAACACATTTAGACTTCTTGCATTTCCGAGTACTCTAAGGAAATCATTGAAAAGCATATTCTTCTTCATCTAGGTTTGTCCTACGTCGGGACCCTCCTGGGCTAGCGCGCTTTAAGGTGATGGCCAGAAGGTGGCGCTCTGCATCAGTTCATGGGGGCGGCCTGACTCCGGGGAAGGCAAACACACAAACCAAGGTGCCTGCTTTAAATCCGCAAAGTAAAGGTCCTCTTAACCACTTGTCATAAAACACCCTGAGACACCCGTCTTGGAAAATCGAAGTGTCAAGCTCAGCATCTTTGCCACATTTCAAACTAGGTAATTACCTTCTCTCCCAAAGGGAATCTGCTTTATGTATTTGTGTCCTTTCTAGGTTACAAGTTTCCCAAAGGCAATGATCTTGCCTTCCACTCACTCCATACAATGCTGAAGTGAAATGCATATTGTACAATAACAATTTAATTATTCTACATTCCTCTGAGCTACATGATGACCTGTTACATAATTGCCAGTAATATAGAAATGTGCCTGCCTCATACAAACCCTTGCAATACACAGAAGTTTTTATTTGACCTAAGAGTAAATTGCTTATTTGCTTCTCCTTTAGAAAAGAAAAAGCAGAGCATTTCCCCGCCATCCCAAATTATAAGTCGTAATCAAATAAACAACACTGTATTTCAGTCTGTCATTTTTATTAAGCCTGCAGAGCTGTTTTTTTTTCTACACACGACAAATACTTTGATATAATCTAGGATAATAAAATAGTTGAACAACTTTTTAAGATTTATATTTGTATAGAAACAATCTGTGGAACTCCTCCCCTCAAAATGAAGGTGTCTAAAAACAGTGATTCATCAGCATTGCTTTAAATAATTGTTTGGTTAAAAGTTGTGGTTTCCATTCTCAACCGAAATGCGTCTCCATGCAGTTTTCCTTGGGTCCAAAGCTTAAGGCCTTGGGAAGGGGGCCAAGAAAAAAAGAATGGCCACTCTCCTTTCTGTCCTTCCCTTGTGTGGAGGACAGTGATTGAAACAGGGGAGTTAAAAAGCCAGGAAGAAAAGAAATCAATTGCACATCTCTAGTTCGCAAGCGTCAAAGTCACAACAAGTCTGTACACAACAACTCTCTATCTGTAGATATGAAATTCCATCATGATAGCACAGCGCCTGCTTGCCCCTAAATGTTCCTTTCTTCTGCTAATCATGTCAGTTACTATGGATGGGCTGTGGCCATAAGTTCTCCCTCAAGGGCTGGTCCTTCTGTCACCTTGAAGTGTCAGCCCCTGAATTATGCCACTTGGATGCTATGTCTTGATACCCAATAAAGGTCTACCATCCCCTAAGAAATCCCTTACCCCACCCTCAAACCCCCAAAGTGCCTAAGAGTGAAGACGAAGATGCCATGGAGACGGCGTCTTCAGTGAACACCTCCCCAAAGATGCCCGGGGACTCGGGCCTATATCATCCCATTGATCTTAGTCCACTCGTAGATGTCCTGTTCGCACACTATGTCAGAGTTGATGAGGAGGTATCTGTCACCTACACAGAAATGCTTCTGACAGGCGGCGCATTTGAAACATTCCAGGTGATACACTTTGTCTTTCACCCGCATTGTCATCTCATAGGCACGAATCCGCTTGTCACAGGATGCGCAGAGACCGTCTTGCCCAAAAAGCCTGGGGCAAAAGAAAGAAAAGCTAAGAAGACAGTGAAAGGGACAATCCTGGAAGACAGGGCTCGGGGATGAGCCCTAGAAAGGAGGCCGAACTTTCAGGATGTCAGGAAGCCAGGGAAGGTCGGCTCCAGAAGGAGGGCCGGCTAGTGCAGTCTTCACCAGCAGGCAGAGGGAACTCAGATGAAACTGGCATTTGGATCTGGCATAACTCCTCCCTTTTCTGAGCCCTCTCCTTGTCTGCAGCAACCGCTCATCATTCCCCTAGGCTGCCCCCTGGCTCCTCCTCTGTGGGCAAGGCTCTCAGCTGATGTGATCTATCATAAGGAGTTAGGCAAGTATTACCTGTCCCCTCCCAGGGGAACCCTCATTTCAGAAGAGCAGCTGGAGAGAGACCCTAGGGGCCCCTTTGAGAGGGTACTGACCAGGAATGCAATAAAACGGGCATTCTTCTGAGGCTCCCAAACTCTATCATGTCAACAGCCACTGATTCTACCCATGGGGAGAGCTGGCCTTGAATACCTCCATAAGCTGCAAAGCACATCTCCCCCTGATTATTCGCTGGGGCCCCAGCTGCTGGGAGACAGGGAGTTCCACAGAAAACACGCGGTGCAGCTAATCGTGCCTCTGAGATATGGAGGACCAACAGCATCTCTCCACCATGAAGGGAGGATCTTAATTCATGGCCCTCGCTGCCCACTGGCATGAATCAAAAGGGAAACTTCTTTTCTGACATTTAAATCAAGACTCTCCCAAGCCTCAGTTGATCAGTCACTTATTTCAGGCAGTATTCAGTGTCAAGGTGGGAGACAGAACATGGCAGGGCTCAGTGCAGTGGTTCTCAAAGTGTTGGTCCTGGGACCAGCGACATCAGCACTGCCTGGGAACCTGACAGAAATACAAATTCTCAGGCTGGGCGCAGTGGCTCACACCTGTAATCCCAACACTTTGGGAGGCTGAGGCAGGCAAATCACTTGAGCTCACAAGTTCGAGACCACCCTGGGCAACATGGTGAAACTGTGTCTTTACAAAAAATACAAAAATTAGCCGGGTGCGGTGGTGCATGCCTCTAGTCTCAGCTATTAATACTTGGGAGGCTGAGGTGGGAGGATGGCTTTAGCCCGGGAGGTGGAGGTTGCAGTGAGCCGAGATCATGCCACTGCACTCCAGCCTGGGCCACAGAGCCATACCTTGACTCAAAAGAAAAGCAAAAACTAAACAAACAAACAAAAAAACAAATTCTCAGCCCTCCTCCTTCCCTACCCAACTGAGACACCCTGGGGAGAAGGCCCAGCAGTCTGTGCGTTAATGAACACTTCCGGGGGACTGGTTGCAGGCTGACATTTGAGAATCAACAGCAAAAGTGCAGTAACACAAGTACCGGAAGCAGAGAAGACCCAGCTTCAATGTCCCGGACCAGCCCTGAGTGACCCTGGAGAGACCTCTGATTCTCTGAGCCTCAGTGAAATGGCAGCCATCATAGGCTCCACCTCACTCAGCTGTTAAAACAACCAAACGAAGCATGTCAGGGCACCCATGGTCAAGGGCTAAGCCAACGCTGGTTATGTTTTAACACATCTTGGGTGTATTCCCAGCTGTGCCAGTCTTGCTGCAGGAAGTAATTTTCACTCGTGGCTGAAAACATAGCATGTTAGCAGGTGGTTTCTACATAAAACCTTTAGGACAGTTTTAGGTGAATGCTTGCTCTTATTGGAAGTTCTGGTTGATTTCAGGATATCAGAGAATCAGTGGGTACATTCTGAGAGGTTGTAGGGGACCTAAGGGCAGTTGACACATTTTGCAATATTTGGGCGAGATTAATGGAATTGACAAGAGGTGGTCTGTGAGTGGAGAGCTCATTGTTCGGGCCAGGGCCAGCTAATTTGCCTCTGAATCCTGCTTTCCATTTGAAGATCTCTGAGTGTTTTCAAAGCACCGCCTGGGAGCAAACTCATTACTGGGGGGAGAACATTTTATCCCAACGTAGCAGATGGTGGAGCTGCAGGTAACCGCCACATTGGAGGTCACAGAGTGGAAAGACAGTTCTGGTTTCCTGACTGCTCTGTAAGTTAAGTTTGGGCCTGAGCAAGGATGAACGACTGAGAAAACAGTGTGCATGGAATGAATCCAACTGCCTGGGGTGTGCGATCCTTAAGGAAGGAGGGAGCTTATTAAAGGGAAGTCAGGGGGTAAATTACAACCCACATCAGGCAGCTATGAAGGGAAGGACAAAGGACGAATATGTGGGAGACAAGTTCAGGTCCCAGCATGACCTCTAACTTGCCAGGTGACCTGAGCAAATGGAGTCCCCTGTACAGGCTTCTGTGACTTAAGCCATAAAGCAAGGGAACTGAAAAAGAAGGTCTCTGTAGCCCCTTCCAGCTCTGGGATTCGGAGATTCTAATATTAGTAAAAAATAAGCCGGGACTTGACACCTAACTTGAGCATTAACCTCTGGCACCAAGAATTGGTATCTTAGGCTGGATATCCCAGAAGCAGCCCCTGAGGCAAGGATTGATGTGCCAGTGATTTATGAATGAGGCATTCTCAGGAAAAACCTGGAAGGCAGCAGGGGAGGCTGGAGGGAAGGGGAGGAAGCCAAGCCAAGTTGTATCCTCAGGCAAAGTCCCTCAGAGGGGAGGGACCCTGGAATATAAGTTATGCCTGGCTCCAGGCAAGGCTGCGGGGCTTGGTACTCCCACCATGTCTGTCACTGGTTAAGGTCCGTTGGGGGTCTAGTTGGGGCAGGCATACTTCTGGCTCTAACAGATTCAGGTGCTGGCTGTTAAAAGCAAAACCACTGCCATCACCGCCACCCCACCACTCCCAGCACACAAGAATTAGTGAAAAGGGATCCAAGGAGATCTGGCTCAGCACAGACATGAACAGCTGCTCTTGGGTTCCCAACAATACAACACAGCAGCAGAGTTGAGGTTCTGCATGGGGGTCTCATGAATGTTTGAAGCTAAATGTCGGAAAAGAACTGTAACAGGCAACTCAGCCATTGGAAATCCTCACGGGGACAAGTTATCCTAGGGGTGAAGAACTCAAACACATTAGAGGGCCCGTTCAGTTACTCCTCCAACTTGCCTTGTTAAAAGATCCTGCCAGATATACTAAGAATGCCAGTAAACAAGACCTTGGCTAAAGGACCATCCCTGACGCAAAAGACAATTTTTCTCCTCTGTCAAGAGATGTCCCATCTTAAGCTCTCTGCTGCCCATTTTAATAACAATAATATAAATATTAAAGAATGGCTGGAAATGCCTGCACTAATGCAGAGTTAATTAACATGTTGCCTAGGAATGTGGCAGGGAGAAGAATTATTTCATGTCACCAAGACACAAGTTAATTAACATTGGGTTCTCCCAGACTGTTTTTTTTTTCCTCTCCTTTTTGAAAATGGAAAGGATTAACAAGCCCAGGCAGCACTGGTTTTATTCCTGAATGTTATATAAAACGGTAGAGATAGGGAGAAGCTGGGGCTCTTCTGACCTTACTCTATCTGCACTTCAGTTAATAAGATTCAAATGATTTGACAGGGATGGAGTCAAGGGTCCGATGGGAATCATTTACCCGTCTGCCCTCTCACTGACTTGGCAAACTGGGAGTGAGCAAAACCAGGTCTGTATTTATCCAAGTTCTATTTTCTGTGACTTAAAAAAAAGAAAACTGACCAAAATTATAAGCATGATCATTGCAAAATCCTACTTATTTTCTCGGAACCACCATATCTGCAAGGACTGCAAGAACTTTATCTGGGAATTCAAGGACAAAAAGCTTCTTCTAACAGTCTTTAGGTAAAGCTTCCTTCACTGTGAAACTGCCTGCAGTTTTTTTGGTTTTGTTTTGTTTCTATAATGTAAAATGCTCTGAGGGCAGGTTTGGGAGGAAAAGCTGGCCCAGCAGCCAAGGGCGCTGAGGTCTCAACAAGCTTCCATGGGTTGGATGGTCCTGGTGTATCAGGGAAGCATGCTTCACAGACCCTCTGCTCCAGGAAAACGGAGAAATACTGACAGCTACACAGTTGAGCAGATCTGACAGTAGAGGGCACAGAGACAGTTACCTCCACAGCAGCTCATCGGAAACTAGAAACACTAGTACATTCTAGGCAAAGGCTTTCACACAGTGCTGGAAAATTCGGATGGCCAATAGGATGGCCCAGAGCATGGGAGATGTCCTCAGCTCCTGTCTTACTTGGTGTTGTCGAGTTCCTATTTTACTCTTCCATTCTTCCATCCCTTTGCTCATTAGATTGGAAAATAATGATTATGTAAGAGCAGCTAACATCTATTTGATCCATACCAAGCCAAGTAGTTTATCTGCATTATTCCATCAAATCCTCCCCACATCCTTAGAGGTAGGTGCTATTATCATCCCCATTTTACAGATAAGGAAATCGAGGCTTAGGAAGGTTAAATAACTTGCCCAAGGCCACCAAGCTGGGAAGCAATGGTATTGGGACTCAAACCTCCAACTGCCTACAGGGCCTTTGCCTTTCTGCTCTTCGAAGACTGCCTTCCTGCTATGAGTCAATGCTTGGAGCTCCATATGCTTTCTATTTTTAAATTTCTCATCATATAATACTGGAGTCATACAAAAAAAATTTATAACATACATATATGTTCTGAAGCATTCAAATGAGGTCCTCAGAGCCCACCTCCAAACTTAGAAACACTCCCAGTCCCTCTGATCCTCCGTGTGTACTCCTCCTCAATCCCATCCCCTAGCTTCTCCCGCTCCCCAAGGGAAGCACTTTTCTGAATTTTGGGTATACAATTCTCTTGCCTTTAAAGATATTAGTATTTTACCACATAGGAACGTAACCCTGAGAACATGCTTCTCAAACAGGAAGAAATGCCCTCTGCTTCTCAGCACAGGAGCTGAGACTCAGCCTCTGCAGTCTGACCTCTTTCTATAGGTGGTGTCCGAGCCTGGAGCAGGGTAAGGGGCAACACACACCGACTGCAGATGTCCATGGACCACCCAGCCTCCCTTCCGAGGGCCCAGTGGAGTGCCGGGGAGGGTACCTGAGATAGTCTCTCCGGCAGAGCTTCCGGCCCAGTTTGTAGTAGAGGCGCCGCCCCACCTCACCCAGCCGGCAGCCACAGAGGTCGCAGCTCAGGCAGTCCTCGTGCCAGTACTGGTCGATGGCCTTCAGGAAGTAGCGGTCCCCAATGTTCTGCTGGCAGCCGCCGCATGTCAGCAGGGATGGGGGGATCTGCAGCACCTCATCCACTGGTTCCCTGGAGAGAAGGCCAAGCATCAGGGACAGCCTCACCAGAGTGAGACCAGCACCGAGGGTCCGAGATCGTTTTGGGCCAGACAGGGCATCTCACCTGACTGCCTTTCAGTGACCTAAGGGAGAAGGGACAGGACAACACATCCCTTGGCCAGACTGCAGAGTCCCAACCAACCTTGGGTTAAGACGGGAAAGAGCCAGACCTTACTCCCTAGATGTCTAAGAAGTAAACACAGGGCACCAAGAGGCATCAAAGGCAATTGCAGGTGGCACTGTGCCCCTGCCCATGCCCAGCACTACCTGGGCACCTCTGGTCTCCTTCTGCTTTTTCCCACTCTCCCCGCTGACTCTATCTTCACAGATCTCCCTCATTTTCCTCCTCCCATAACCTGGACACCCAAGGGCACTGCCTAACCTCAAAGGACGCACTCTGGACTAAAAGAGTCGCTCACTGCCAGGGCAGCAGATGACCCAGAGTGCTAAGAATCTGCAAATCCCCAGTGCCATCCTCCCTCCAGCCCTAACCAACTGCACAAAAGCAGAGGTGAGGAAGAAAGAAGAATGAGACCAAAAATTATTTTAGGTTGCTTTCTCTTTCCAAAATCAAAATTCCATCAGGACATAATAGGAATTCTCCTAATTTTACTTTTTTACAGAAATTCCATTTTCCATTCTTCCTACTGAAGGAATACTTGGAGGAAAATCCCATATCGTAAGGCCATTGTTACACGAAGGACATCAAATAGGCCTTTCTTTCCTTACCTGAACATTTTTATAAGAGTAAAATTGATTTGGATAAAGTTGATTTGAGGAAGAAAATGAAGTGGGGGCAATGATTATTTCAAAGAGAGTGGAAGGCAATTAAACAGACACTGACATCTCAATCCAGCAATTGTTAATAGGCTGTGACACGTGTTCTTTCGTTAATACGCCATGCATAGCATCTCCTGTTCACTTTGCTTCACTGGAATCTGAATACATTTTTACATTTAAAAATAAATAACTTTGCTAAAAGAAAATAAAGGAGTGGAAGGAATTATTCTAGTGTCCCCCACATGGGACACAGCAAACACTTAATACGTGTTGATTTATAATAATTAGCAAGTGTTCTCTGGAACCTTACTTAAACACAAATCTATTTCTTAAAAATCTATTATGTTTCAAAAAACAGACCTTCTTCCATCTGTAAAATTCCCAAAGGGAGTTTCCTCCTGGGTACCCTGCAGGTATAAATCCATGTCTCCTATTTCTAACTGGTACTAACTTACCAGGCGACCTTGTGTCCTAATTGGTCTGTGCCCATAAAGCCCAGCAGCCATTATACTTGGGGACAGGAGGCTAGGTGGCTCAATGTCTATAACACTCTGACAACTTCAGGTGATCCCGTCATGTGAAGTATGAAGTGTTCCTTATGAATATTTAGGAGTGCTAAAGCCATGCCCACACTTTCTAGACACAGTGTAACAGCACTTCATGAGACTATCATCTTTGGAACAAGAAAATGGGAAGCTCAAGTTAGTTTATCTGGGGAAAAAAAATGGCCAGGTACAGTGGCTCACGCTTGTAATCCCAGCACTTTGGGAGGCCAAGGCAGGAGGATCACTTGAGCCCAGGAGTTTGAGGCCAGCCTGGGCAACGTGGCAAAATCCTGTTTCTACAAAACATATAAAAAATTGCCCAGGCTTGGTGGCATGAGCCAGTAGTCCCAGCTACCCAGGAGGCTGAGGTGGGAGGATCATCTGAGCCCAGGAAGTTGAGGCTGCAGTGAGCACTGCACTCTAGACTAGACAACACAGTGAGACCCTAGCTCAAAAAAATTCAAAACTATAGTTTTTTGTTTGTTTGTTTTGAGACACAGTTTCACTCTTATTGCCCAGGCTGGAGTGCAATGGCACAATCTCGGCTCACTGCAACCTCCACCTCCTGGGTTCAAGTGATTCTCCCGCTTCAGCCTCCCGAATAGCTGGGATTACAGGTGTCCACCACCAGGCCCAGCTAATTTTTTTTATTTTAAGTAGAGACGAGGTTTCATTCACTGAAGCCTTGCTTTCTTTCCTTTGTTTCTACAGATTGTATATAAGGACTGCCATTTCCCCTTCTAATAACTAATACCCTAGCTTTTTCATGTGTATCAACTCAGAGTTGCATCTCTTCTCTTTCCACAGCCCATGGTCTTACTCTGGGCTTTCAAAACCACTCATGGAACCTGGACGCACATTGGATGTCCCGATGTTGATGCTGCCAAAGGACTGTGAAAGAAGAGAATTTGCCCTTAGCTGGTGCAAAACTGCCTGGAATTCAAATGAACTGCTCTTGTTACTCACAGGGGAGGCAGTGGGGGCCACCAGTAGCACAGCAAGGGAATCTGTGTTCATGAATTCTGGCTGGCTTTCTGTCCAAATGTTTCATTTGCATATAGCTAGGCAAGTCTCCATCTGTAATTTGGAGATGCTGATTGTAATGACCCAAGCTGGATTTGAGGAAGTACACAATGAAGCATCTAGTAGGATACTGGACAACAGGAGGAATGTAAAGTAAAAGAGTTACGGTGATGGCCTGAGATGAGATGGAGAAGTAAAGTATAAGATATTGGCTCTGTCTTTCTATACTTAATTAATGATAATATCACATTATACTTAGTGGACAATCCAAGACAATGACTGAATTAGATTGATTCACCCTCAAATTAATATTTTATATTCTCCCAGACCCTTATCTTGAATATTACACCTGAGTATCATTTAAGCCTGGATTTCTGGGACAATCATAACAATTTCTAAGGGCATGGGGAGAATGTGCTGCAGCAATTTCTCAACTGGCTTGTCCCTCTTTGATCAGAATCTGTCTTCGTTGGGCAAATAGTGAAGTGAAGGAAGGAGCTGGTGAGCCTCCAGCAGTAGATATCTGTTGTATTAGGAAGTTAGGATGTTTCAGTTTCTAACCTCAGTGAAAAAGCACAAACTTTGAAAGAAGCAAACTTCCTTCAGGGAAATGAAACCTTCAGATTAATCTTCTATTGAAAGGATTAGTGACTAAATTCTGCTGATCAAAAAGGCATGAGGCACCAATTCATCCAATTCACTCCCTTATTGTGTTACTATGATCTTGCCCAGTCTCTGAAACTCAGAGCTCAGTTTTAAGTTTATTTTAAAAAAGTGATCAAACCACCCTTTAAACCCATTGTTTGCATAAACATACTTTTAAAAAGGAATGTTATTTTTCTCCTGAGAATTTGTTGAAGGAAGTGGGGGTTTTTGTTATAACAAACCTAGCTCATTACAGAACTGGTGTCTTAACCTTCAAGACTGAATAGTGATGTTTATATTCTCATTGGATGGTGGTACTTCCTGTGTTTTATGAGAATATGTTGAGCTTTTATGCTGGTAACTGAGGGTAAAACCCAGGTAAATAAACACCATAGAAAGCCGAAATTGAAGGGTGTATGTGTGTGTGTGCGGTATTTCAAGCAGGAAAGCACAATTCTTTTAAAGCAGGAAAAGAAAAAACAAAACAAATGTCTCTTAAAAGCACAAATGGACAAGTCATTAACCAGCTCCTTTGGTCTTGTGTAACAAATCCCTTCAAAGGATTAGAGGGGGACTTCAAAGGAATAAAAATTCTCAAAACCAGACAGCTAATGACTCTTAAAAGGGCATTTGCGTTGACAGGAAAATGATATCTTAAACACCCCTTACTCCCCATGTTAACGCTGAAGAATGGGTGAGGGATAGAAAAACATTCCAAACCAGTACGCGGCTCAGAAAACAGATGCGGCCAATGCTCATTAGAGCTCTGGTTCCCTGACCCCAAACCCTTTTAAGACTCTGCTAAAAACTACGAGACTCTACTCCCCAGAATAATTCACCTATACACAAAATGGTGCATTAACTTTCGAGGTTCACATGTCCCCATCGGTGGACCCCGAGGAGGGGTACACCTACTCAGATTTACTCCGGATTTCGCTGCTCTAGAAATCCCTGGAGGCCCAGAGCCAGCTCCGAGGTGGACGGTCGGACCCCTCACCCGCCCGTTATCCGCAAGGCTGGCAGCGGCTCCACCTGCGGACCGGGAAGGCGGCCGTTGGGGACCCCGGAGGCCGCCACTTGGAATGTTCCCCTTTCCAAGACCAAATGGACAAAGAGAAAGGACCGAGAAGGAGAGGGAAGAAGGGAGCAGAGTCAAGCCCAGAACGCTCTCCGGACTGCACCTGCGCGCCTCCAGGCTCTCCTCGTGCCTGCTCCCGTGCAAACTTTCTGGCCCGTGGTGGCTTTGGGGAGCGTCCCAGTAGCCTGGAGTGGCCCGCAGAGGCGCCGGGCCGACCCCTGTCCCTGCCGCCCGCCGCCCAGTCCCTCTCCCAGAGCCCCCGGAATCACCCGGGAGGAAGGAGGAGCCCAGCGCTCGGCACAGGGGGCCAAGGGCACGCCGCGAGCGCGCACCTGGAGCCCCCTCGCGGGCCGCCCGGGTCCCCCCGACGCTCCGGGACGCGAGGCCGTGGACACCGGGGGTGGCAGGGGCAGGGGGGCCGCACTTACTCTGAAGGGTCCAGGCTCTTCCTTTCGATGGCCGAGGACATTGGGGAGGGAGGCGGGGTGCCGGGCGGCGGGGGCGCTCCCTTTGTGGCGCGGGGCTGGCCGGCTGCCGGGGCTCGGACCCCCTCGGGTGCTCGGGCGCCGCCGCCGCCGCCGCCGTCGCCGCCGCTCCTGCGCCTCCGCTTGCTCCGGCGCTCCGCCGGCGAGCTCGCCCCTCCGCGCTCAAGGACAGTCACCGCGCTCCCTTCAAACGCCAAAGAGAGAGAGCGAATCACCGGGCTGCGGGCGCGCCGCGGCCGAGGCGGGGGCCGGGGCGCGCAGCCTGGCTCCAGGCGGCTGCAGCTGCTGCTGCTGCTCAGGACTTAACCTTCCATCCCGGTCCCGCCGCCGCCACCGCCCGGTCCCTCTCGCGCGCTGTCGCCGGCTCCGCGCCGCCCGCGGGGATGGTGTGCGCCCGCCCGGCCGCCCGGAGCCCCTCGCACCTTCGGCCCGGGTCGCGGCGCGCTGCTCGCCGCCGAGGGCAGAGAGGGGGCGGCGGCCTAGGGGCGGGGAGGGGACCGTGCGTCTCTCTCCGGGCTTCCTCCTCTCTCGGGAAGGTCTATTTTCGCTCAGCTTCCCTCTGTCTCTGGTTTCATTTCCTTTTTCCTGATCACGATTCAAATACAATAGAAGGAAATCACATTTAAAGAGACAGCTGCCCGGTCCCCCCACCTCCCCTTTTTTCTTCCTTTTTTTTTTTTTTTTTTTAAACGGGGCTCCTGGGGATTAGCAATACAAACAGCAGCATCAGGACTGACTTGGCTTCTTAAAGGGGCCAGTGTCGGGGACGGGGAGAGCCGCTCAGCGAACACCTCTCCTTGGAAAGGAGGCTGGGCAACCACTAAATCATTCTTCAGGGCTTCCCCTCTTCCGCCTTTCCCTTTTGGTTTAACTAAGGCAGAAAGTAACCCACGAACAGCTCGAGCAAGCAAGAAAAGACAAGAATGTGAAATAAGCACCTACAGAAATGCAAGTGTTCCCAGTGGATTTTCCGCCCGTCCCAGGTTCGAGGTCCCAGGTCCACGGACGCCGTGCACTGGGATGCCCCGGACAGCGCGGCTCTGCGGGCTGCGGGCTACGGGCTGCGGGCCCCAGGCTGCGGGCTCCGGGCTGCGGGCTCCGGGCTGCGGCCGCGCTCTGCAGAGGCGATGGTGGTGCGCCAGCCGGGACTGCACGGGCTGGGGACGCCTAGAGCAGAGCCAGGGCAGCTAATCCCAGAGGGAGGGTGGCTGGGAGGGACCACGCGGGGCCGGGGCTCCTCTCAGTCGGCTGGTGGCGGAATCCCCTCCCTCTGCACCTTTCAGAAAGCGGACTCCTGCGGTTAAACTGCCCCCCATGTAAAGTGCCAGTAGTATCCCGACCAGAGAAAGTGCTTTTTCAATGGTCAAGAACAGGATCAGAGAGATTATTTTGCCCTGGGTCAGGCACAGAGAAAGAAGGCGGACTTGATTTGGGGGTTCAGGCTTCCCCCTCTCAGCCTCCTTCTAGAAAGAGGCAGGAACGCAGAGGGGAAGCGGGGGAGGCTAGTAGTTTGCCCTTCCGTGGAGAAAAACTTAGGCTCTCCTGGGCCTCAGAGTTCCTTGAAAATATCTGCGTTCAGAAGCTGAAAGGCCTATTTGTGCGTGATGCCAGTCATTAAGGCTTGTAAAGAGGGAACGTACTTTCAGGATCCATGGTTTTATATGATCAGTCTGGATCATAGGCATACATTTCTGTTCCCATTTTAAGGATAACCAGAGTTTACTACTGCCTGCATGCTCTTGTCATTTTCTGGTCCCTGTGTCCCAAGGCTTGGGTCCCTAATGGGTATAATCAAAAGCTGTGTGTGTGTGTGTGTGTGTGTGTGTGTGTGTGTGTGTGTCCCAAAGGAAGCCTTAAGAGCAAATTTTTGTCCTAGTGGAGACTTCAGTATACAAAAAGACTTTTTCGGCTGTGCTCGGTGGCTCATGCTTGTGATCCCAGCACTTTGGGAGACCCAGGCTAGCCTGAGCAACACAGTGAGACCCCGTTTCTACAAAAAATAAAAAATAAAAATAATTAGCTGGGCGTGGTGGTGCTTGCCTGAAATCCTAGCTACTCGGGAGGCGGAGGTGGGAGGATTGCTTGAGCCCAGGAGGTTGAGGCTGCAGTGAGCCATGATCGCACCATTGCCCCCCAGTCTGGGGAACAGAGTGAGACCCTGTCTCAAAAAAAAAAAAAAAAAAAAAAGTTGGGTTTTTTTTTTTCCGATAGACCCTTGTTTTTAATTTAAAAAAGAAAATACTTAGAATTTAGGCAAGCCTAAACTATGTGATAAATATGTAACCTACCACACTACTTTCATTTCTAACAGAAATGAAAATAAATATATAGGTTGTGATGAACAGTTTACCTACTTATAACCAGTCAATGTGGTGGTTAAACGCTGGAATTTTGGAACCCAACTGCCTGGGTTTGATTTAGACTCTTACTTATCAGTTAGCATGTCCTAGGAAAATTATTTAATCTGAGGAGGCAGTATGCGGTAGTAGCTCTGGAGTCAGACTACCTGGATTCTAACCCATCCTTGACCAGCTGTGTCAACCTGGGCTCACAGCAGGAATTTAAACTCCCAGTATCCTGGCCGGGCTCGGTGGCCCACACCTGTAATCCCAGCACTTTGAGAGGCCGAGGCGATCCCAGCACTTTGAGAGGCCGAGGCGGGTGGATCACTTGAGGTCAGGAGTTCATGACCAGCCTGCCCAACATGGTGAAACCCCATCTCTACTAAAAATACAAAAATTAGCCAGGTGTGGTGGCACATGCCTGTAACCCCAGCTACTCGGGAGGCTGAGGCAGGAGAATCACTTGAACCCAGGAGGCAGAGGTTGCAGTGAGCAGAGATCGCGCCATTGCACTCCAGCCTGGGTGACAGAGTGAGACTCCGTCTCAAAATAAATAAACAAACAAACAAATAAACTCCCAGTATCCTCATCTGTAAAATGGAGACGACAGAACCTATTGCCTAAGTTATTGTGGGGATTATATGAGTTAGTGCACAAAAGGGTGGCACATAGATTTGTAATGGCATGGGGGTAATAACAGATATGAAGTTGCTTGCATGAAAAGCAACTGGTATATAGTAAGCACTCATAAATGGCAGCTGCTATGTTATAGTAAAGGGCATCATTAAGATAATTTTAAAAGAGCTTGAAATTAAATTTAAAGGTGAAATGGGGGTTTAAAATAAGAATTGCCCACCCAAATTTGGAAACTATTTCCTGTTTTTTAAAAGCAGGAAACAGGATTCCTTCACCTCACCCCCTTCTTCTCCTAAATAAAACATGTAAGTGTTTTCCATTTTAACGTTCATTATCGTGGTGACTAAATGACCTGTTTGCATCTGCTTGGGTGTTATTTGTTTGTTTGTTTGTTTTTTGAGATGGAGTCTCGCTCTGATACCCAGGCTGGAGTGCAATGGTGCGATCTCAGCTCACTGCAACCTCTGCCTCCTGGGTTCAAGCGATTTTCCCTGCCTCAGCCTCCCGAGTAGCTGGGATTACAGGCGCTCGCCACCACGCCTAGCTAATTTTTTGTATTTTTAGTAGAGACGGGGTTTCACCATGTTGGCCAGGCTGGTCTGAAACTCCTGACCTCAGGCGGTCCATCTGCCTCAGCCTCCCACAGTGCTGGGATTGCAGGCATGAGCCACCGCGCCTGGCCACATCTGCTTGTTTTTATTTAATCTGATAAATTATTACT
Source organism: Homo sapiens (assembly GCF_000001405.40). NCBI lineage: Eukaryota > Metazoa > Chordata > Mammalia > Primates > Hominidae > Homo > Homo sapiens. Next base: position 33,873,102 of record NC_000011.10, read on the forward strand.
TTCCTTGTCACAGTTTTGCATGGGGCTCAAGTCAGTTTTTAAATTAAATATATCCTTGGGTTCCAAGAGGTAACCTCAGAACAGCCAAATTCAGGGCATAACGTTTCTTTTTAATAATATGCTTCTACTTTGACCTGAGTGTGTAAAGAAAAAGAGATTACTGCATATGACTTTGGGTCAGTTTCTTATCTTTCACAACTCTTTGGGGAGAACTTCCTTAGAGAAGGTGAATATTTGAAATGGTATCTTAAGATTTCAATTTCACACACAGTGGTTGTAAGAAATAACTGCCTACCGGTGGGATTTCATTCCTATTCAACGGGCAATTAAATTGCTCAAATTTAAGTTTAACATTTAGAATCAAGTCTCAAAATGTGTTTTTATTATGAATAATTTTAAAGCAATCATGACCTTATTGTATCCTCCCTTAACAACTAGTACATGCCTTATGCAGAAGAGAGACTCAGGAACTATGAGGTGATTGGGACATGTAAAACGGTTCTTTTAAAAGTTGAGAAAATCTCTATTTGATCCCTGCCAGTGGGACTGAAATTTCATTCCTTTTCCCTTTCCCCCAATTCCTTGCAAATCTTAAATATCCTAAAATCTAGAAAATGTTCAAGTTTTCCTTCCTGAATAAGAATGCTAGAAGAAGAATGAATCAATCTACACGATGGCTCTGACCCCAGATGGATCATTTTTTTCCCCTGTGGGCATTTTCTATCCTTTTTGCTTATTACATTTACAATTGTTTTCTAAGGGAACAGCAGTTTCAAGTGACTAAGGTTACATTCCTTTGCTAAAATGGACTTCTGATAGAAATGAAAATGCAAATATAATTGAGAAGATCCCAACATTATGATAATTTACCTCTCTTTTTTTTTCAACCATTAGAAGCCAAGTTGCAACATATGCTTTGTCACTTGTGACATTCATATACAAAAATATGACATTTTGTTTCTAAATGTGGCATTCAGGAACAAAAATAAAGACCTGTCTTAATAGGGTTTCGGCTCCCATGGAGAATTTTTTTAAACTATTCGGTTGTCACAGGCATCCTGTGCTCAGACTCATTTCAGAACATTTCAGGGCCAGCTGACAGATAAGTTTTCACAGATGTAAGGCCTATTAGTAACCTTAGTGATAAACAGATTCGGTTTTCTATATAGTAAAGAGCCCAAAATACATCTTTTAAAAAATCCATTTCAACCGAGCCTTAGGATGAGCATAGAAGCTCAGCTGTTTGCTAGCTGCGTGATCTGGGGGAATTTACTTCACTTCTCTGAACCTCAGTTTCTGTACCTATCAAATGGAGGATGGAGGCAATCATAATGTCACCAGGGCCAGAACTAGGATGAGGCCACTGGGGTGCCTGCTTGCCTCACAGGAGTTTTGAGAGGAGTCAATAGGATATGTATAAAAATACTTTGCACAGTGATGCTGCACAGTAAATGGTCAGAAACGATAGCTGTTGGTATTACCCCATCTTTCAGAAGTAATCACCACTGTATCAGGAAGCAACAATCTCCCAGCCAATCAGGACATCCACCAAAGAGTGCTGAGACTGGGGTGCTGTAGAAAGAGCTGAAGTTCACCTAAGACCTCGGCAAGCCTCAGGCCAGAAATGCAGGGCTGTGCCCATTTCGGGGCCTGGGTAGGCTGCTGACAGCTTCTCTGCTTCTCTGCTACACTGCTACACTGACTGCTTCAGCCACATCCCTGATTTCATCTGATTTTCCCCTCCAACAACTTTCAAACCACCATTTATAATTTAAAAAAGAAGCCAAACAAAGCACTGAAGGAGCCGCCCCCAAATGTCACCATTCCTCAGTGAGTTCTTAGCAGTGTTAAGCTCATAGTGTGTCCTAGTGGAAGGGGCCTGAGAAGTGGGATTTTCTAGCTTGCTCCTTGGAGCAGTAGGAGTTTGAAAGCACCTCCCTAGTGGGTGTCACCCACCCCTGCTCCCACTGCAGCAGTTCTGCATTCATTGACCTTGGGCATGTTGCCCAACCTCTCTGCATTTGAGCTTCCACATCTGTAAAGCGGGAGTATTCAGAGTACCTACTCGTGGAGCTGTTCTAAGGATTCTGTGAAATGAAGCAGATCAGGTGCTTGGAGAGGAAAGTGGCACATAGTCACCTTCTATGGAAAATTTTGCTTATAAAAAGAGATTCTAACTTTAAAATGTTTGGGCGGCCGGGCGAGGTGGCTCACGCCTATAATCCTGACACTTTCGGAGGCTGAGGTGGGTGGATCACCTGATGTCAGGAGTTCGAGACCAGCCTGGCCAACGTGATGAAACCCTATCTCTACTAAAAATACAAAAACTAGCCAAGCGAGGTGGCTGACGCCTGTAATCCCAGCTACCCGGGAGGCTGAGGCAGGAGAATTGCTTGAACCTGGGAGGCAGAGGTTGCAGTGAACTGAGACCGTGCCGTTGCACTCAAGCCTGGGCGATAAGAGCAAAACTCCTTCTCAAAAAAAAAAAAAAAAAAAGTTTGAGCACCCATTGATAATTCAGACCCTTTGATGGACAAAGCAAATGAGACATACAGGGTCAACAGCTCCTTCTTCCACCTCAGGCCATTGTCAAACCTTCCCCCACCTTCTCCTTTGGGTACCAAACCCTGAGCTTTATTTGCTGCTTCAAGTTCAAGGTGGGAGTCAGAGCCAGGTGAGCTGACTCACTGAGCTGTCTTTGTGCTCTTTGTTTAGGCAGCCTGTCTCCTCTCTGTAGCTATGCAGAGGTGCCACACCTGAGTGACACACCACAGTGCCTGGGACCCCGGCACAGTATATTTGAGATCCAAATTCACTGTGGCCTGGAAGGCCCTATTATCTGGCCTCTGCTGCCCCCCTGTCCTTTTCTCCAGCATGCCCCTTCACTCTGTCTGCCTGAACCACACTGGCCTTCTTTCTGGTTCTTAAAACAAACCAAGCTGACTCCTACTGGAAGGCTTTTGCACTTGCCCTTTTCTCTGCTTGCAATGCTTTCCCCCTGGATCACCCCATGGCTCCCATGTACTTCATTCAGGTCTCTGTTCAAATATTTCATCCTCAGAGGGCTTTATAAAATCCTTCTTCTCCTCACTCTCCATCCCCGTTATCCTTCTTTGTTTTTCTTCCTAGCATCATCACTATTTTCTCTTTACTACAGATGTATGTGCAGGGTTTTGGTGTGTGTTTTGTTTTGGCCTTTCCTCCCAGCTAGAATGTAAACTCTGTGAGGGTGGAAACTCTTTCTGACCTGTTCCCAGTTGTGTCTTCAGCACCTAGAACGTGCCTAACGTGTGGCTGGCCCTCAATAAATATTCATTAAAAGAATGACTGTACAAATGGCAGCACCATTCCCCTTGGCCAAAGCATGCCTGCATGATGCCCTCTGGGTGAAAGTGTAGAAGGAACTTCAAGGTCCTTTGTTTTTCTTGAGCATCATTACTGGGAGAAGAATAATGGTCCAGATACCATTTATATTTGGAACCAAGAGTTTGGTTTGGGAAAGAGATCAGGCTCTTGGCTCCCAGGAACAGAGAAACAGGTGGTGTCTGGAATTAACAAGGCCACTCTTTGAAGCCTGACTCTCCACTGCAGAACCTCTACCCTCTACAAGGACTAAAGTGTAGAATGCAGTCAATCATATGAGTAAAAGCAAAGGCTTTGGAGAGAGAAAGGCTTGTGTTTGAGTCTTGGCTCCTTTAAGTACATGGTTTTAGGCAAATTATTTAACAGCCCTGAACCTCAGTTTCATCATGTGCAAAACAGGGATAACAATATCTTCATTATGGGGTTGTAGGAATAAAATGAAATCATGCATGCCAAATGCTGAGCCCAGTGATCAACATAGAATAAGTGCTCAATGGATGGCAGCTATTATTAGAATTAACTAAGCAAAGAGAACCTCAGAGGACAATAGTCAACCAGGGCAGGGCTTTCTTTGCTGGACATAGATGGATAAGTGGAGTTCTGCCCTACAAGGGCTTAGTTCAAGTAAGGTGGGGTCAACATTCTTGCCTGGGGAACGGAGTGTCTTGTCTTACCTCTCCTGGTATGGTGGCCTCCATGGGACAGGTGAGTTAGGTTCACAGAGGCCTGGCCCAGGCTCACATTCAGGAAGGCAACATAAAGAAGGTGCCAGAAGCCATTCCTGGCCATTGGCTCTTCAGAGTCACGTGTCTCTGATCTAAGCCATTGCACCCTAGACAGGCTTTCTATTGGAGGAAGTGGGGAGGATGAGGACAGGTCGCTGCTGGGGCAGCTGTGTTTTCTGGCATCTGGGCCATCAAAGGGCACTGAGCCTGGCAGGGGAAGGTGATTCTGACCTTTCTGATAGCACTTGCCCCTACAAGCTGTCTCCAGATTCTTTTTTTTTTTTTTTTTTTTTGAGACAGTGTCTCACTCTGTTACCCAGGCTGGAGTGCGGTGGCGTGATCTCAGCTCACTGCAACCTCTGCCTCCCGGTTTCAAGTGATTCTCCTGTCTCAGCCTCCTGAGTAGCTGGGACTATAGGTGCACACTACCACGCCTGGCTAATTTTTGTATTTGTAGTAGAGTCAGGGTTTCACCATATTGGTCAGGCTGGTGTTGAACTCCTGACCTCAGGTGATCTACACGCCTTGGCCTCCCAAAGTGCTAGGATTACAGGTGTAAGCCACTGCACCCTACCTGTCTCCAGATTCTTAAGCGACAAACCTCAGCAGGAAGGAGTAGAGCTGGAATCTTGTTAATGATGCTCCCTAGGAATGCCCATTGTTGAGGGAGGTATCCTTTGGCAAAAAAAAACAGAGAAAGAGCTGCTTGTTTTTTCTGCCAGTTTTTGCTGCTTCCCTTCAGTCACCCCTCATGTGTTTTACTGCCACACTAACTGATCTGGAATACTGTTTTCTTCCCTGTCAACACCATGCTCAAGAATTTGCAATAGTTCCCTATCGTCCATGACCATCCACAAGTTGCTTAACCTCTTGAGACCTCAATTTTCTCATTTTATAGAGAAAAGAGGCAGACTGGAAGGTTAGAGCTGAAATTCTATGTGTGATTCTGTCATTCTAGCAGGTCGAGACCAAATTTCCCATTAAAGGCACCCTGTAATCCTGCTCACTCCATTGATCCAACTTTACATCCCACAGTCCTGGACCCTGAACCTTCCCATCCAGCCTGTTCTCCTCTCTGATCTTAAATATCCTGCTTGTGCCATTTCTGTGCACTGTGTTACTCTTTTCTCTCTATCGGGGATGTCTGCTTTCTCCCTGTTCTAAAGCTTTGGTACTAGAATAGTAGAGTGATTAAGAGTAGAGGCTTTGAGATAAATAAACCTGGCTTCAAGTCTCTGCTTTACAACTTACTATCTGGGTCATCTTAGGAAAATCTCTGAGCTTCAGTGCTTTGAATGATAAAATACAGACAATGATAAATGTAGGGTTAGGAGTAGTCATTGAGATAATGTATGCAGTGGGCAGAGCACAGTGCTTGGAACATAGTAGGTGCTCAGTAAATGGCAATGATTATTGCAGTTAGTACAAATTCCTCTCCAGTCTTCTCTGCTTCTCCAAATCTTGTCCAATGTGGACCCAGATCAAGCTACATCTTTACCCTGAAGGTTTCTCTGTCCCCTGAAGCTCATGGTGGTGATCCCTTTCTGAGTTCTTATAGCCCTTGGTCCTAGTGCCTAGCTAGGTGCCTCATTAGATTCTGCCTTGCAATGCAATAATTTCACGTGTGTGCCTGCAACATCTTGCCTTAAGTCCTTGGAGAAGAGAGACCATGGTTTTCATCTTCACTAGCTCCCAGGGTACTGATATAGATATGGAGATACTTAATCATTCCTTTTGAATTGAAGCCTTCAAATATCACATCCATGTTATCAATTGCCCAGTTCCTAGATTCACACTGATATTTACAAAGCCCTGAGTGTCTTTGCTTTGGTGAGGAAGGCCACTCCAGAATCATTATTGAAGATAGCCCATGCATTGTCACAAACCTTTTAAAAACCTGGTAACTATAACATTCTTAAAGAAAACACAGGGGAACAGCTTCATGACATTGGATTTAGCAAGATTTCTTGGATATGACTCTAAAGGCACAGGCAACAAAATTAGAAATAGATAAATTGGACTACATCAAAATTTAAAACTTTGGTGCATCAAAAGACACCATCAACAGAGTGAAAGGGCAACCCACAGAATGGAATAATATATTTACAAATCATATATCTGATAAGAGATTAAGATCTAGAACATATAGGCCGGGCACTGTGGCTCACACCTGTAATCCCAGCACTTTGGGAGGCTGAGGTGGGTGGATCACCTGCGGTCAGGAGTTCGAGACCAGCCTGGCCAACATAGTGAAACTCCTGTCTCTACTTAAAAAAAAAAAAAAAAAAAATAGCCGGGCGTGATGGTGTGTGCCTGTAATCGCAGTTACTCAGGAGCCTGAGGCAGGAGAATCACTTGAGCCCAGGAAGGGAGACAGAGGTTGCAGTGAGCTGAGATCGTGCCACTGCCTGGGCGACAGAGCCAAGATCACGCTTCCAACCTGGGCGACAGAGCAAGACAAGCTCTGTCTGGATTTAAACAATCCAGTTTCAAAATGGGCAAAGAACTTGAATCTCCATTTCTCCAAAAAAGACATACAAATGGCCAATAAGCACATGAAAAGATGTTCTACATCACTAATTATTAGAGATGCAAATCAAAACTACAATGAGATACTACTGCATACCCATTAGGATGGCTAATGCACAAGTGTTAACAAGTACTGGTGAGGATCTGGAGGGTTTGGAGTACTTGTGTATTGCTGGTGGGAATGTAAAATGGTGCAGGCATTATTGAAAACGGTATGCCGGTTCCTCAAAAAATTAAAAACAGAATTACCATATGATCTAGCAATTCCATTCTGGACATAAACCCAAAAGAATTGAAAACAGCAACTCAAACAAATATTTGTACACCCATGTTCACAGCAGTACTATTCACAATAGCCAGAAAGTGGAAGCAACCAAGTGTCTATCAACAGATGGATTTTTTAAAGTGATATACGCATACTATTTTATGTGTACATATATATACATATGATATATACACATGATATATATATCATATATACACATGATATATATATCATATATACACATGATATATATATCATATATACACATGATATATATATCATACATACACATGATATATATCATATATATCATATATATACATATCATATATATACATGCAAACACATATGATTCCACCTTAAAGAGAAAGGAAATTCTGACATAAGCTACAACATGAAAGAAATTTGAAGACATTGAGTGATATAAGCCAGTCCTGAGAGGACAAAGACTATATATGATTCTACTTTTGTGAAGTACTTAAACAAATACATAGAGACAGAAAGTCGAATGGTGGTTGCCAGGAGCTAGGGGGAGGGGATAGTTATTGTTTAATGGACAAAACATTTCAGTTGGAAAACATTAAAAAGTTCTAGAGCTATATAGTGGTGATGGTCACCCAACAATATTTATGTGCTTAATGCCACTGAACTGTACCCTTGGGAGTGGTTAAATGTTAAATTTTACGATGTACGTATTTAACCCCCACACGCCCCAAACAAATCTGACAAAAGTTAAAGACCATTCCCTAGGTGTAGCTCTGTTCCTACATGCAAAATTTTACATATTGTTCCAGGGAGCTCACGGTCTTCTCAGGTTCATCTGTGGAACCATTCGACAACCAAATGTTATGGGGAAGCCAGTCTCATGAGCTCCAACACATTCTTCAGTGCAATCAGTGGCAATCCCTGCCCACTTAGGACTTTTCGAATAGTGCTCATCCCTGACTTCTGGATAAACTTCTTTGCAGAAGCCCATTTGACTCCAAGGACAGAAAAAAAGAGTGCAGGTTGTTATTATGCAAAGCCACAGCATTAAGGAGCTCAATATTCTTCTAGATATCTGCCCTCCTGTCTGAGAATCCCATACTTAGAGTATAGCAGGTCCCATCTCCATTTGGGATGGTGGTGGTGGAAAAGGGGGCGTCTCTGATGAGCAGAGCATCTTTAATGCCTGCTCAGGCCAGAGCCCCTTTCCAAAGACTTCGAGACTGCCGTGGGCCTGCTGACTCCTCTCACGCTTTCAAGCTACAGTGCTTCCCATCACATTGCAGAAGGCCGCCTTGGGTCATATCTCGCAAAGGAAGAGCTATTAACAAATATTCCATTTGTATTTCCTGCGTGGCCCTCCATCTGGAAATATCTTTTATCTGGCAACTTTTGCAAAATGAACCAAATCTTGAAGGAGGTCTTGGCAGGTTTATGCTAGCCTCTCTATCACTCCAACAAGTCATTTCCATCCTCGCCTTCACAAGGGTCAAGCAATTGTGACTTGGGTTGGGAGACGGGGCTGGCACGGAATGGTAGCAAGTCATCTAGGCTCTGAGGCATCTTTTTAACCCTGAAAACGTCCACTTGGAGGGCAAGAGCCAAATCTAAAAAATTATTATACACACTGTCTCTCAGCTCAAATATGTATGCTCTCACTCCAAGTTCAGATCACAATTTACAATTCCGCATTTTGTAATTGTTAAGTGCAGTCTGGCTTCCCCAAAGACCTCAAGCTCATTCTGCCCAGGATTAAATCCAAGAGCCTTCTTAGCCCAGTTTCTGGCATGCAGGAAGCATACAATAATGGAAGAAATGAATGAATGAACAAATGAATTAATGAAACCCACCTTACCTGCCTCTCCACTAGCTACTGCAAGTTCAGGTTGAAAAATATCTTCTTTTCAGAGCAGTTGTTACTGAAAGAAAATGAGAGGAACCCTCTGGTTTAGACAGCTAGAAGTAGAAAGGAGAAAGAGAGAGAAAAAAAATTCTTATCTTCAGTTAGAGAAATGTTTCCACAGGTCCTTGATAAACTAGGGAAAAAGACCCCCAGGGCTTTCTGATAGCAGGCGGGTGTCCTTGATAGCGTGACGGGTGGGGCAGGCGGAACTTTGGCATCAGGGCGCAGGGATGGATTCTAACGGTTTCTTTGCTGGTTGAAGAGGCTGCTTCCTGCCGACTTCTTTTTTTTTTCTTCTTATTCTTCACTTACCAGCCCAGCTTGTGAATGTGAAGGAGTTGTCCCTTTTCCAAATGAACAGGACTGGTGTATCAGGTGGCCTTGCCATTGTATGCACCTGCCGGTCTGAGAAAGCAAGTGTTCTGTCTGTATCTGCAACTGTTTGTGTCTCACGCTTTGCAAATCTCTTATCCCTCTGAGTCTCAGAAATCCCCCATGAGTGAAAAAGGGCAGGTAGCCTGGTGCCCATTTGATAGGAGAGGAAATTAGGCCAAAGCCCTTTCAAATCTCAAACATGCCTAAACTAGAGAACTGGATGACCCTTGTTCCTTAGACTCGGGCATTCTTGCTCACAGGAATGTCTTTTGAAAATTTATTTTTCAAGAGGAAGAGCTTCATGAGGCAAAAGCCAACACGCAGACACCGTATTACCTAGCGGCATTTATTGGATTTGTCTCTTGAGTGATTCAAACAAAAGATTACGGTTATAAATAGATAGACCTAATTGTGGCAAACAATGCCTACCTTTTATTGAGCACTTATTATGTGCCAGGCATTTTAAATACTTGATCTTATTCAATCCTGATAAGAAACCTCCTGAGATCAGTAATATTATTCCAATTTTACAGAGGAGGAAAGTGAGAGAGAAATTTCAATAACTTTCCCAGGGTCATACAGCTGCATAAATGTAGGAGACGGAATTTAGACCTAGGTCTTCTGACTATGCCCTCACCTCATTCACTATGCCAGTGTTTCCCAAATTTCCTACGTTTGCATGTTAGGAATACATATTCTTAGGCCCACACCCAATCTCCCAGATCAAGGGAGAAACCTCAGAAGGCCTTTCCCTGGATACCTGATCTAAAAAATAGCCTCCTCCCCAGGCACTAACACACCGTTATTTAATTTTCATCATTATATTTGTCACTACTTGATATTTTCTTATTTGTGTATTTGCATATTGTCTTTCTTCTCCACTAAGGGATGAGTTCCATAAGTGCAGATACAAGATGTCCAACGTTTTAACTTCTAGAAACTGACCAAGGGGGATGGTACCTACGAAGTACTCAAAACATATTTATTAGATAAGTTAGTAGACACTGTCCAAAGTATTGTGTTAAGAAGAATTGTGAGTCTGGACCCAGGTTCTGGAGAGAAGATGAGAACACTGGTGTGTGTCCTGAGGTTTCAGGATGGGAAAGTGTTGGCACATAGGCCATGTATTTGCCATCCCAGAGAAAGAAACTCAGTCTCCCCAAAATTAAGAGGAAGATGACACAGAAAGTCAGTAGGAGAGCCAGGTAAAATGCAATCACTTCTTTCCAAGACCTTTATCTCTTACTTGGAAGTCAAAATGAACACATTTGTAATGGAGAAGAAATCCATGGTCAACAGTGAGGTGCTGATCAAAACTGCAATCAGATTGGATTAGGGAGAGATCAGAGTGGATGGACATCAGCATGGAAGGCTTTCTGGAGGAAGCAGAAAATCGAGTTGCCCCTTGATGAGCGATTATCTGGAAACTTCCTTTGTTGTCAGGCTTGTACTTTGAGCTATACATAGAGTGTTTTTTAGGCCCTTGCAACACCCTAATGAAGTAAGTATTGTAATCATAATTTTATGGGTGATGAAACTGAGTCACAGAAAGCCTACAGAACTTGCTCCAGCTCACAGGGCTACTAAGGACTGAGTAGGAATTAACAGCCGGTGATTTCAATAATGGTTTTCTTAACAGAGCAGGTGTGTCTGGTAGGAAACAGCCCAAGTAAGGGTCTGGGTATGGGGTCAGTTGGAGGAGCTGGAGGTGCAGTTCACAGGTAGTAATGAAGTCAGCTGGTTGCAGAATTGGACCATAACAATATTCCAGTGAAAGGAACCAGATCTGCTGTTCTCTCCCATTTAAAAGCCTTGGATGCCAAAACGCACCACACCTGACCCGGTGATCACAGGCAATTCAAAGGTGTATTACTTATGCAGGCATAGGCAGCGAGGGAAGCCACTGGTTGAGGGCCCCACTGAGAAGAGGACTCCCTGACTTCTGGGGAGGAGAAAGAGCCTGGTGCTGGGGACCTACGTAGATATAGGACAGGGGCCCACCTGTTGAATAATGCCGAGAGGAGGTAGTGGGGGAAGATTAATTTTGAGTGATCTGCTCCATTGGGGGTCAGGCTGGGGGTGGTCAATCAAAAAGAGTAAGGGTGAGTTTTCTTGCATATGATTACTAGGTGCTGCAGAGGTGAGTGGGGCTGAGTGGGTGGTGAGGGGTGGGGTGCCCTGATGGTTTCTGCCCCAGTGGGTGTTAACTATTTGGACAAATGACATTTTGCTGGGAGCAACTTTTTGCACTCAACTCAATTTCTTCAAAATTCACTCCCTAACATTTGGTTCACCATCCAAAGAGCTAATATACTTGTATATAGGCTGTACCAATTTTACATAGCCAGTGCAGTATGTAAGTCTACTTGTGGGCAGGAGGGCTCCTAAAACAAGGTCACCCCAGGCTACAGGGGACATCCAAGTCCTAGGGAGTTCAGAGTACCACATGTAGAATTTGGTTTCTGTTTGGTGGTACATCCATTGGGCTATTTGGATTACTTTGCCTTGCAATATTTATCCACGTCCAGCAGGATACACTATGCCCTCTGAGAGCATATACTCCTTCTGGGAAGCTGGCATATCATCTGGAGCTAGTCTCTTATCTGCCACCCTGGCAGTTAGGGGTTTTTGCCCTTCAGTGAAAGCTTCCAGTGCTGCTGTTTTTTGTGTTACGTGGGCTGATAGGACCTCGGATCTTTCTCTGAAGTATCTGCTAGTTTTCCTGGTGTGATCATATTGTAAGACCTTAGTCCCACTCTTCTGGCCCCAAGTCATGCTTATACCCAGGACAATGGGTAGGAAGACTGCCCATCACCTCTGACTGGGGACTGTGACCAGCAGGGTTAAATTGCAGAACAGTCAGAAAAATGTGAAGGGGGTTGTCAGACTTAGCAGTGTGCAGGTGAGTTTAGGTATTTGGGACGTCAGGAAGAAGTTATCTAGGAGTGGAACAGGTGAAGCAGGTTCCCTCTGGGGCTTCCAATCTCTTGTGTTCCTTTAATATCTGGGGTGGGCCATGACACTAGTTGTGCTGTGTGGGCCTAGGAAGATACAAGCATAGGCATGTATTTATACATTTGGATAGATGTATGATCTGGACTCATGAGCCGGGGACCAGACTGGATAACATCTGAGCCAACATAGGACAGGGCAAGACCTAGGAGCCTAGACCAGAAGTGTTTGGTGTTGGTGGTTTTGTGGTGCAAATAAGGGAGTGGCCTGCTCATGGGGGCAGATAGGAGGCCCAACATTGCATGAGGTCCAGCCACTGGGATGTGGCTTTATCTCTGTGTACATACAAGTTAGCCCGGAGATAGCCTTAGGCAGTAGAATTGCTTTGGGAGGCCCAGGAAGGGAAGTTCCAGCCACAATGGCAATGAGGTTTATTGTGCCCAATGGGGAGGAAGTGAGAGGAGAGAGTTATAACTTTGGTGGCCTGTGTGGTGGCCACCCTTTTCAGGTATGTGACAAATGCTGATTGAGGGATCCCCCAAGGGAAGCTGTTTGTGCTCCAGCAAGGGGGTCCCTTGGTAGATGATGTGGGTAACTGGTGGGCAGCCTCCAGGATGCAGTGGTTGGCTGGGCTGTGGTCATCACCTGCAATGTGGCCATTGTCTCCCTGGGCTGGTACACCTTTTTTTTTTTTGAGCCAGAGTTTCGCTCTTGTCACCTAGGCTGGAGTGCAATGGCACAATCTTGGCTCATTGCAGCCTCTGCCTCCCAGGTTCAAGCAATTCTCCTGCCTCAGCCTCCCAAGTAGCTGGGATTGCAGGTGCCCACCACCAAGCTTGGCTAATTTTTTTGTATTTTTAGTAGAGACGGGGTTTCACCATGTTGGCCAGGCTCGTCTCAAACTCCTGACTTCAGGTGATCCACCTGCCTTGGCCTCCCAAAGTGCTGGGATTACAGGCATGAGCCACCATGCCCGGCCACAACTCTTAAGTCAGATTTGGGTCATGGAGATATAGGCTGACATCTGGAAGGGTGTCACAAAGATGCACAAAGCAGAAGGGGTGCTTGAGGGCACATTTAGAAGGGGTGCTGGAGGACACCACATGCGCTGGGCTGACAATTGGGCATCATTTCTATGATAAAAGTAGTTTGTAGGGGAGGTGGGACTAAACATACAGGACCACATTCCTTTTTGTTTGTCCTGATGGCTTCTCAGGATGATGTGATATTCCTGGCCCATGGTGTTGTAGAAGAATTGTACATTCCAAACAGATAGGGATGACACTGTGGGTGCAGTATTGCCGAGGTGTCCCAGCGCTGAGTAGGGAAACTGTGTCCCAGGCCACCAGCTATATCAGGCATAGCCAGCTATAAAAAACCTAAAGGTTTCACAATAACATTTTCAGTTTTTAGACTCTGTAATAGCATTTAGGGCTGGCCTTTTATAATGACAGGGGCATCTGTATCCCACAGCTGTGAGTGGCTGTCTGTGCTTTGGCATCCGTGGTGGGGAATAGACAGCCTCAGGCATTGTTATTTCAGAACACGAATGTTGGGGGGCTCCTTTGTCTTGCTCCAAGATCCACATGGTGGTAGGTGTCAGTCCAGGGGCCAATATTCTATCCCCTGTGGAACAAGCTTAACATTAGCCAGCCTTTAAATCCATCACAACTGGTAGATGTGTTAGGGGATGGGAGAGCCTCATTTCCAGGCTGGTAGAAACATGTTGTCAGGGACTTCGCTCTTCCATCCATAGCCAGCAGGTCCCACTTATTATTTGCCATTGGTCTGACACCGATGCCTTGTGAATTGTGGATAGATTGAAAAAAGATATAGGAATGAAGGATCAGAGGAGCAATCCCACATGGGAATCCATGACTTGGAACCTGGGACTCTTGTCAGAACTAGTAAGTGTAAAATGAGGGCATTTTATTATGGATGAGGGGCCCATAGGGGCAAGTATCAAGGGAGATAAGAGCAGTAAGGAAAACTGATTTGGAAACCACAAGCCATTTTGTAGCTTTAAGAGAATATACATCATTGTGGAGTTTGCGGTAGCCTGGTGGGAGAAGTGAGCCAGTGACAGACAGGAATACATGTCCACCATGGTTAGGGCATATTGTGGGGTTGGGGAACCTGAGGGAAGGACTCATTACCGTCAATTTTCCATCATGAGTGTGGTCAGTTTCCTCAGTGATTCTGCTAGGAGTGACATATTGCACCCACCCATACTTCTCCACAGATATTCAATATGTTTGGGATAGCAGTTGATTATGGGTGGGAAACGTAAATGCAGCATCTTATTGTGGAAGGCCTTAGCTGCAAGTCTCCAGGAATGTGGATTTTTTTTTTTTTTTTTTTTTTGAGACAGGGTCTTGCTCTGTTGCTCAGGCTGGAGTGCAGTGGTGATACTGTGGTTCACTGCAGCCTTGACCTTCTGAGTTCAGGTGATCCTCCCACCTCAACCTCCCAAGCAGCTGTGTGTGCCACCACGCTTGGCTAATTTTTGTTTTGTTCTTTTGTTTTGTTTTTTGTTTGTTTGTTTGTTTGCTTTTTGTAGAGATGGGGTTTTGCCATGTTGCTCAGGCTGATCTCAAACTCCTGGGCTCAAGCCATCTGCCCGCCTTGGCCTCCCAAAGTGATGGGATTACAGGTGTGAGCCACTGCACCTAGCCAAGAATGTGGATTTAATGAGCCACTAGTCCATGGAAGACTCTTGAACAGGGGAAGGATGTGAGTGGAGTTGCATTTGGGTTGGGTTGGGGTGGGGAGAGGCTGGAGGTGAGGCTGCTGTGCTAGGAGCTTAACCACCAGTGAAGGGTTGAAGAAAGGAGGTGGGGGCAGGGGGAATGACTGAGTGGGCAATGACAGAGGCACTCACGTGACTGGCCAAGACTTGTCTGCAGGAGACCAGGGAGCTATAGCCAGGCAGCTGCAGGGCCATTGATAGAAGCTGCCATGGCTTGAGCACTTGCTCTATGCATACTCACGCAAGCGCATTCGTATATGATCTCGCTCATCCCTCACACTGAGGTCATTTGTGGGATGCAAATGGCCAGCCTTATGCTTCTGCCCCATCCACACAGGTCAGGGGCCATACTCTGTGCCACTGCCAGGGGGATCCTTTCATAACCTGCATCAGATCATTTCGCTCCTCTGCTTGAAGCTCTCCCAAGGTTTCCTTCTTGCCCAGAGTAAAAAGCCAAAGTCCTATAAGGCCCTGCATATCTGGCTCTAGCCATCTCTGTGTCCCCTTCTCTTACACTCCCTTCCTCCTTCCCTCCCTCTGCTTCATCCACACAGGACCCCTTGTCATTCTTCAAACTCTTGCTTTAGGGCCTTTGCTCTTCTCCTTCTTCCGGGAACATTCTTCCCCAGATGTGAGTTCTTCTTATTAGAAAGGTCTTCCTTCATCACCTGAGTAAGACACTAATAACCCGGGCCAGCGCATTCCATTTTCCCTCACTCTGTGTTATTTTTCTCCCTAGCACATATTGCCATCTGGCATACTATATGTGTACTTGCTTATTTGATTGGTGTCTGTCTCCCCCTCTCAAGTTTGTAAGCCCCTTTCAGGCAAGAGCAATGTTTGTTTTGTTGACGTCTACGTATCCGCAGTGCCTAGAACAGTTCCTGCTGTGTATGAGGCGCCCAGTAAACACTTGCTGAGTGGATGAATGAAGTGTGTATTATCATCCTGATTCAATGAAAGGGAAAACTGAGGCTCAGGAAGGGTACGCAACTTCTCCAGGCAGGACAGCTAGTAGTCGCCAAAGCCAGGGTTCAAGTCTGACTACAAAGCCTGTCCTATTTCCGTTAGGGTAGAATACCCTCGAGGAGTCTTGGATCTTTGTAACTGAGAAAATGGATCTTTAATAAACAGAAATGGGGAAATTGAACAGGTTTGGGTAATAGGGGAAAGATGACAAGGTCATTTGGAGCTCTGCTCTTCTTTGAGTGCAGTGGGACCTCAGAGGCTAGGGGTAGCCATTTGAGCATCTCCTGTGTACCAGGCACTGTACTGGGCACCAAGAATTTAAAAATAAACAAGACACCGTCCCTACCCTTGAGGAGCTCACCAACTAGGGGTGAAATGTCCAGGACACACTCTCTGAGTTCCTAGGGCTGCAGCTAACCTTAGCCAGACCAGAGCACAGATGAGCTCGCAGCCAGACTCTCCAGGCCAGATACGGGCCAGGCAGCAGCATCCGTTCAACAGAATCGCTGAGCAGTTCTGTTGTGCCAGACAAAGCAGTCACACTAGAGATACAGAAGCAGGTCAGACAAGGGTCCATTCTCAGAAGCTCACAGCAGTGAGGAGGAAGCATCCTTCACTCATTTGTTCATTCATCTGTCAGCTAGAAAACAAGTACTTGCCATGTGCCAAACACTCCTAGGCTCTTGTTATAAAACAATGAAGAAAAGAGACATGATCCCTACATTCAAGGAACTTACAACCTAGTGGCGATGTGGAGAAAAGGAAACTCTTATACGCTGTTGGTGGGAATGTAAATTAGTACAATCTCTAGGAAGAACAGTATGGAGATTTGTCAGAGAACTAAAATTAGAACTACCATTCAATCCAGCAATCCCACTACTGGGTATCCATCCAAAGGAAAAGAAATAATTAGATACCTGCACTTGTATGTTTATCGTAGCACTAGTCACAATAGCAAAGATGTGGAATCAACCTAAGTGTCCATCAATGGATGATTGGATTTAAAACTGTGGTGTATATATATGCAATGGAATATTATTCAGCCATAAAAAAGAATGAAATCATGTCTCTCGCAGCCACATGGGTAGAACTGGAAGCTGTTATCTTAAGTTAAAAAAGTCAGACACTGAAAGACAAATATCACACTGTTCACTCATAAGTGGGAGCTAAATAATGTGAACACATGGCATTAGGGTATGGAATAATATACACTGGAGACTCAGAAGGGTGGGGGGAGGATGATGAGAAATTAATTAATAGGTACAATGTGGTGATATCAATCTGGTGATAGATATCAATAGATATCAATCTGGTGATAGATACCAATAGATATCAATCTGGTGATAGATACCTTAGAAGCCCTGACTTCAAGACTATGCAATTTACGCTTGTCACAAAATTGTACTTGTTCCCCATAAATTTATGTAAGTTTTTTTGTTTTTGTTTTTGTTTTTATGAGATGGAGTTTCTCGTCACCCAGGCTGGAGTGCAATAGTGCCATCTTGGCTCACTGCAACCTCCGCCTCCCGGGTTCAAGCAATTCTCCTCTCTCAGCCTCCCGAGTAGCTGGGATTACAGGGATGAGCCACCACGCGTGGCTAATTTTCATATTTTTAGTAGAGACAGGGTTTCACCATGTTGCCCAAGCTGGTCTTGAACTGCTGACCTCAGGCGATCTGCCTGCCTTGGCCTCCCAAAGTGCTAAGATTACAGGCGTTAGCCAATGTGCCCGGCCTGTAAGTTTTTTAAAAACCTAGAGGTGAGTAATTATAATAAGTGATATTATTATTATTATTACTCTTAACAACAATGACAATGATGACTGATGAGGGCTAAGTACCAGCTACTATCCAAGCACTTCCATGATTTATTTCTATTATTTCTCACAATGACCCTATGGGTACCCCTATATTACAAATGAGAAAACTGAGGCTGCCATCTTTCTAAGGTCTAAAGTGATTTTCTGGGAGCACAAACAAGAGCTTAATTAATTTTAACAGATAAAGACAGAAAAGGCTTCACAGAAGATTCACCTTTTCAGGGCAACCTAAAGAAGTATGGGTTGGTTTTCTTTAAGCTGAAACATTACGGCAAGAACCTGGAGTAATATCTGCTTCAAAGGGGAGTTATGCAAAGTCAACAAGAGAAGACGTGTAAAACCCAAGCACAGTACCTGGCACAAAGTAGATGCTCCCAAATCTTTGTTCCCCTTCATTGATCCTCTGTGATGGAAGGAACTTGTAGCCACTTTCCTCATCCGCCTTGGTTTTTCAAAAACACCCTTTGAAGTTATAACCTCCTTGGGAGCCAAGGCTTCTCTGAAGCACCCCATTACAATCTTTGCCCTCAACTCAGAACTGGAATGTGTTTGAAAATGCTAACAAGGGCAGCAGCCCCACCTCTTCGTCATTGCCTAAGGTTGTTAGGCAAACACACACACACACACACACACACACACACACACACACACACATGCACACACACTCACACAGTTGCTGGGGAGATCATGGTAAACACAAGCCTCTCTTTTGGATCAGAATAATTGAGTGGTCTCCCTTTGTGGCCAGTGTACAGGAACAAATTAGATGGGTAAATTAGCAGTTCCCGAAGACATTAGCAACCAGCGGCTCACACAGCAAGCGCCTGACTCACCGTGGGGCCTCTCCAAGTCACAGCCTATGAATAGATGCTCTTCCTCCCTCCGAAAGAGAAGCCAGAGTGCCCGGAACACCACAGGGGAAGCTTGAAGACTTGTACCCCTTTGGAGTCTTTTTATTTTAAAAGACCAATTTAATCACCACTTCTTCTGGCTCCTTGAAGATGAAAAAAGTTCCCTTGCAATCGTCCATTCATCAGAGAATTAATGAAGCCTACTCACCAGCAGATGATGTAATCCTGGTGGCTTCCCCCATCAGATCTAGGCTGCCTGCCCCACGGATACCTTCTGGGCTAATTGCCTGCTTTGCACCTGTTCCTTCTCGGGAGGCCCTGGCACCCTAGCACCTGGTGCCTGTGCCATCTCCCCTCTCTGCCAGGACACCCAGAGGCCCTTGTGAATAGCAAAGCCCACTTAACGGCTGAGGGCAGGTGGGGGTATTTCCTTCTCAATTCTGCTCAAGGCCCGTTGCTGTTCTTTGAGGATGTTGCAAATCCAGGGTTTGGAGGGCTGGGCCTCTTGGTGGCCTGGTTGTCTATCTGATAGGGCGGAGCCTTCACCCTTGCAGCGAGCTCTCTCACACCAGATGTGCTCTGCGTGGAATCCTAGGCCATCAGGGGATTCCTTAGCAAGCCCTGCAGGACCCAAATCCTAACTCAGACCCTCATCCTCCTACTCAGAATGTGGAGACTTGTGATCCTCAGTTTGGACGAATTCCAAGAGACCTTCCAATTCCCAGAGGCCATCTTTGGTTCTGTTCACACATAGCTCCCTCTCCCTCCTAGGCCTTCTCCCTTTGAATTTCTCCCCTACACCATCAGCCTGTATTTACTTCTCCTTCTTGCTTAATGCATGACTATATTATCCCAGTTAAGGGGGTCTGCAGGTTTTATCAGAAAGTTCAGAGGCTCACATGACCTGGATTGGAACTTGGCTCAGCCACTGACTAGCCAGACAAACTCAAATAACGTACACAGCTTCTCAGCACCTCACCCCCTCATTCATAAAAAACAGGGACAATGGTACCCACTTTGCAGGGTTGTTGAGTGGATTAAATTAAACAACACAAGGAAAGAGCTTTCCTAAGTTCCAATGCTATGTAACACACACAGTATTGTCTTACCCAGCAATAATTTCGGTGCACGGATCTGATCATCTCTTAATTAAATATTGAATTCTCCTAACACGGTTCTTTTTTTGAACCCCTCAGGGTCTGAACAGTTATAAGTGCACAGAAGTTGGGTCTTTATGAGCTGAATAAAAGGAGACTCCGGCTGTCTTCTCTTTTGTCCTTACCATAAAGCTCTTGTCAGCTGCTCTCCTGGCCCTGCCTCTGACCCTGGGCTTTGGGGCCACTATAGGCTCTCCTTTCCTTGTCCCCCTCTGAGTCCTGAAGTCCTGGTTTGCAATCTGCTGTTGCAGTTCTCTGGAATGGCTGCTTCCCCATGCGCCCCTGTCTGTCAGCTACCTCCCCCGCATGCATGTCTGTCTGCTGGGCAAGGCCCAATTCCGAGGTGACAGCTCACCGGGCCTCACCCACAAGTCTCTTCCAAGCATTAGCAGCCCACCCCAGTCCAAAGATATCTTTTATAGCTGATCTCTGGTGGCACCTCCTACCTTCCAATTAGGAGCCTGTCAACACCCAGGCCATCACTCTTCCTGCAGTGTCTGACAACACACACGCCTGCCGCGGCTGCGCCGGGAGAGTCAAGCAAAATTGTTTCCATGGTGGTGGTGGTGGCCTGAGCACAAGAGTTGAAATCTAGGTGAATCTGAATCTAGTTCTGCCTTCTCACTTTGCAAGGAGGTGTCTTATTTCTCTTTGAATTGGCAGCACCAAGCATCATGCCTGGCACACAGTAGGTACTCATAAATAAACACGTGTAAATCAAAAAGGCCGAAGATACATTGCTAGCTTGCAGACTCCCTTTCTCAATGTCTAATGATATCCAGTTCATTTCTTTCTCTTACATGTGCAAATCAGAAAGTTAGCTCATAACTCATCTGTTGTGACTTTTTCTTTCCTTTACTTTTGTGGTTGAAAATAAATTTACCCCAGAAAAGAGAGAGAGAAGGTGCCTGATTCCTTTGTCCTCCCTCTTCGATCCTCTCTAAATCCCTGGGTCATGGTAAGACTCTCTGAAATTCAGGGCCATTTTCAGACACTGGAGCCAATGAGGGAAGTATGACACAATCGAACATTTTTCTTATCTGGCAGTGTGGTCTGGTGGTTAGCATACGGGCTCTGCCAGTCGGAAGTCTGCCTTTCTATTTCTGGGGCTTAGGGGAAACCATGAAGCAACAGTCTTAGCAGCCCACTCACTCTTGCTTTCTCTTTCTCAATGTAAAATTGAGTTCACATTGGACCTGCTTACCCACAGCAGTCACCAGCTCAACCAGGGAAGGAAACGCACCACCCTGCTAGCCCTGCTTCAGCCTTGGGTGAGGCTGTGAAGGCTGGTGGTAAGCCGATGAAAGATAATCCAAAGAAATGAAAGTGAGGGTGATGAGTAGGAGAGCGGTTTGGGGCTGAGGGTACGAAGATGCCATGATGACTGACTTAACCACATCAAACTAAACCATGTCTCCTACTACAATTCACCAGCCTGAAATTGTGAGAGGATCTCGGGCGCGGAGATTTCGCTGGCTAAGGGGCACCCTGTGTGCCTACAAGAGGAGGTGGGAGGGAAGTTAACCTTGCGTTGTCCTCCAGGGCGCAAATCCAAAAGTGGGAAAAAGGGGAAGTTCTTTGATCTGAAGTAGAAAAAGTCGGGGAGAGAAGGAGAAACACCCAGAATGGCAACAAATTTGATGAAATCAGAGGGACAAAAAGAAGAGAAGGGTATTAAGATCAGATCTTCTGAAGGGCAGAGAACTATAATGACACAGTTGCTTTATTGCTGGACCCAGGACAGTTTATACAGCAGTTCGGAAAGGCCTCTTGAGGGGTTATCTGTGTCAGCCCAGCCTAGCATCGATAGAAACATGAATCTCTGGGAAATTATCTTGTGCCTCAGACTTCAAAGTACATAGAGATTTGAACAGCCTTGAAGTCGATAGGAAAACTTTCAGCATTTGATCAGTCGAATTATCCCACCATAACTCTGCAAGTTCTTGAGCCACATCTAGAAAGAACAAGGCAAGTTAGGGAAAAATCATCATTTAACATGTCATTTCTTTCCTCATTTCTACCCAAATGATCTTTAGGTCTCAATTCCTGCTCCTGTTGTCGTTTTTGCAACCAGGAAGCTGTGAGACCTTTGGGTTATCTTTAGAGTGAGACCCTCTAGAAGGTTTTAGGCCGAGCCTTGGGCTGGGTGATGAGATGGCATTGACTGTGGGCTGACTATTGCTTTGGAGTTGTGAGAATTTCCTCTCTGCAAAGGAGGTTCAAATACTATGTTTTCCCGGCTAATTGTTCATTATGCAGAGTGTCAGACTATGGTCAGAATATAGTGTTTTACAGGATCCCAGTGTTAATATCACAGAAAAGTCCAGCTGACATTATGTGATGTAGGGTGCTTTAAAAGAAAAAAAAAAAAAAACAGTTCCTCTGCAGGGGGCAACACTAAGAGAAGGATACTAGCTTTTTTTTTTGTTTTGTTTTGACAGAGTCTTGTTCCTGTCACCCAGGCTGGAGTGCAGCAGGGCGTGATCTCAGCTCGCTGCAACCTCAGCCTCCTGGGTTCAAGCAAGTCTACTGCCTCAGCCTCCCTCGTAGCTGGGATAACAGGCGCCTGCCTCCACGCCCGGCTAATTTTTGTATTTTTAGTAGAGACAGGGTTTATCCACATTGGCCAGGTGGGTCTCAAATTCCTGACCTCAAGTGATCCACCTGCCTCGGCCTCCCAAAGTGCTGGGATTACAGGCATGAGCCACCACGCCCCGCCAGGATACTAGCTTTGTGACATCAAAAATCTGGGTTTGAATTCCGTCTTGGCCCTTACTCAGGCAAGCCACTTACTCTCTCCTCCTCCACTTTTCATCTGCAGATGAGGATTACAAAACCCTCTTAAGGCTGTTGTGAGAATTTAATCAGATATACAATTAGTATAATCTCTGGCACATAGCAAGTTGTAATTTATTGCCCCTCTGTCCCAGAGTGCATGTGGAGACTTAATTTTTAAATATTAAAAACAAAGTTTTCACTGGGTTTCCAGTCTGTTGATGTTTATGGAGAGAAAGCTTTCAACTGACAAACGCTATCCAAGTGACAGAGCCCATTTCAGCATGGCGACTAAGGCTGATGATGTTCTGCTCTTAAGTGGAGATCAGCAAATGTTAAACAGGAGCCCCACCTGCTCTACCAGACAGCAGCAAAGTGCTTGTCTCATTTTCTTTCCAACATGTTACCATCCTTGTGTAACAGACAAGGTAATTTAAGCTGGGTCTAGACATGTCTGAACCAGTCTGGAGGGCCAATAGGACACCCTCCCTTCCAGACCTAATTACTTGCAGGATCAAGGAGCCTCTCAGAGAACAACATGTCCCATGGAGAAGCAAAGTTGAAGGGGCATTTGTTTTATTCAAGAACAACAGGAAATAGCAGAGGAAGAACAGCTCTCGGACCCCCAGTGGAGTCCTAGAGCAAGAGAGCTATAAGAGAGGGAGTGAAAATTGAATCAAAGGCTTTTCACTGAGATATCTGGGGAAGAGCAAGACACAAAGCTCTGGGGCCAGCTGCTTGGCTGTGAATAAAGATGATGGCACGGGTGGCTTCAGGGAATGGTGCCCTAAGGGCCAGTTTCGATGACCTTGGTTTAGGCAGCATCACTCACCTTTGAGGTCATTCACACTTACACATTCATTCATTCATTCATCTAACACATTTATTGAGTGGCTGTTATGTGCCAGGTGGGGCATCAATGCCTTTGGTGTGGAAATGAGTATCCTTGATACATGTGAATCCACAAGAAACATTCCTGGGGATTTGCTCCCAAAACTATTTGTAAAGGGGCAAGGAATGTGACAGATCTAGCGCCCCCATAGTGCAGGAGCCAGGGGAATCCACCAACTCCGGCCTGGTCACCACCTCTGCGACCCTGTTTTTATCTGAAGGCGTGTGTGGTCTGGGACCTGTGATGCTCATCTGTAAAATGAATTGGCTTGACTGCATGATCTCTAAGATCTGTATTTTATTGAAACTTCTACAGATTGAAACTCTAAGTCCTCATAATAAGCAATAATGAATCATGAACTAGACATTTTGAAAGCAGCATATATTACTTTGTGATCCAGCTTAACTGCTTGAATTATCAGTGTCTGAAATGATCCCCATCCCTCATTCCTCCCCTTTATCCTCTCTATGGTAGGATCAGGCACGACATTGCTTCAGCCCCTTCTACCATGTAGATTTACAGGCCCAGAAATGTTCGTTAATTTGGATTTCAAAGTGAATTCTTTCGTCTTTTAAATAAAGCCAAATATATATATTTTTTTAATTTTGTTTTCAAAACAGGGTCTTGCCCTGTCACCCAAGCTGGAGTGCAGTGGTGTGATCATAGCTCACCACAGACTACAACTCCTGGCTCAAGCAGTCCTCTGCCTCATCCTCCTTATTAGCTGAGACTACAGATGCAAGTCATCATGCCTGGCTAAGTTTTTTAAAAATCTTTTTTTTTCTTTTGTAGAGATGGGGCTTGCTTTATTGGCCAGGCTGGCAAAAATATTTTTTAAGTTGTGCATGAGCCAACACTGAGGACAAAAAATTAAAAATCAGCAGGCTGACTTTAACTAATGGCTACCAGTTCGCAACCTTTAATTTTAATAATTAGGTATGGGTTGATTCAGGAGAAATGGGATCTAGCCATATCTGGCTCCTACCTGGCTTGAGCGGATCATCAAACTTCTCTGAGACTCAAGTTTCCTCATCTTATGATGAGATTTTAGAATTCAATATTCCTTCCAACTCTTGACAGTCTGTGCCTGTGTTTTAGAGCAGTAATGTCATGTGTGTACTTGTTGGCTCGTGAATATGTCACCGCTTTTGCATTCAAGATTGGAAAGTATGTGCATGTCCTTTTTGCTGGGAGGTAGGAGGCTCCAAAAAAGTATCATGACTTTACCTTTCCTCTTTGTATTAGAAACAACTGAGAAATAGACCAGGAAGCCAAGTGAGAATTAAACTATAATATGTGCTCTCTTGCTGGCAAAGTGGAATAGTGACTGCCCTTTCAACCTGTGGTCAAAGTAGAGATCATTACCTCCTCCTCAAGTTTAGGCCAAAGGATCTGCCTGTGGGCAGAATTTGGGATGCAGAATAGAACTTTACACTGACAGCCATACTGAGGACCCGGCCTTCTCACACTGTGGGAGCATCACTAACAGTCAGTGCCCAGCACATCCCACCTGGGCCATGTTCCAGGTGTGCGTACCTGGCCCAGTGACTCCAGGAAGCAGGAGATGAAAAGAAACCTGACTCTACATGCAGACAGATCACTGAGCAACAAACTTCAGAGGAAGCAGGGCTACTGCTAGCCCACATGATGCCTCTGTAAGAATTAGAAAAAGCTGCCTCTTCCTCTGGGCAGACACTGCCACATCAGAGTGCGTGGCTTAGCAAGCAGGAAATAAATTATATTTCAGCCCCAAACTCATCTACCCTGCTGCATAATCACAGCAGCAGCTTGGGCGGGGCTCCCATTTTATGGGCTGAGGATGGGACTGCAAGATGAGGGCCTTGAGTCATTGTCATAAGTTCTGTGGCTATACTGTCCAGAATAGTAGCCACTAGCTGCATGTGGCTATTGAAATTTACATTCAAACTAATTAAAATTAAATAAAACTAAAAATTTCACAGCTCAGTCTTACTAGCTTCCTGTAAAGTCCTCAATAGGCCGGGCACGAAGGCTCACGCCTATAATCCCAACACTTTGGGACGCGGAGGCAGGCAGATCACTTGAGGTCAGGAGTTTGAGACGAGCCTGGCCAACATGTTGAAACCCCGCCTTTACTAAAAATACAAAAATTAGCTGGGCATGGTGGCGTGCGCCTGTAATCCCAGCTACTCAGGAGGCTGAGTCAGGAGAATCTCTTGAACCCGGAAGGCAGAGGTTGCAGTGAGCCGAGATTGCACCACTGCACTCCAGTCTGGGTGACAGAGTAAGACTCTGTCTCAAAAAATAAAAATAAATAAATAAATAAAGTGCTCAATAGCCACATGGGGCCAGTGGCTACCATATTGGACGGGCAGATGTAGAACATTTCCATCATCACTGAAAGTTCTCCCATTGTCCTATGGGACCACTTTCAGTTGTATTAGCCACTTCCGAGTCTTGACTAGCTTACCTTTCTCATCTCCTAGCCTGCCATCCCACATAACAGACTGCATTCTCTAGTCCTTCTCATGTGTTCCCAATATCCCGAGTGGAATCCAAACATCATACTTTTTGCTCCTGCTGTTCCCTCTTCCTGAAATGTCATTCCTCTGCCAAGAACAATCCATCCAATCAAATCCAGCTCGCTCTTCCAGGCCCAGATCAAATGACAACTCCCTAAGTTTCCTAGGTGGGCACTGTTATCTCTTGAGAGCACACTGTACATTTATCTGTCATAGTATGTTTAGCATTGATTCTAGTTGAGCGTTAGGCTGTCTTGTGGCCCCTGCTCACTGTGTGCCTTTGAGAGCTGGTACCTGTCTTATTCACCCCTGTGTCTCTAGGGCCAGTGTACAAAAGCCCCTCAAAGCTGCACCTCTGGGAGGAAAAGCCTCTTGAACCCTATCATTAAGACTTTGGGTCAGGTAAGTGTGTAATGATATTTTAATGCGATTAATAATTTTGATAATTTAATGTTTAATAATTCAGCAATATTTTTCATCACAATGCCTTCAGCACTCTCTCCCTGTTGTTTCTCTGAGCCCTTCTAGATGAGTACAATTTTCCCCAACTCACTGCTGAGAGAACAGAGGCGTAGGGATGGGCAGTCATCCAGGGTGACTCAGCTAGGAAATGGCAGAGTGACATTTGGACAGAGCTCTTCCTGACTCCAGAGCCCAGATGCTGGAATGCCTCTCATGTGAGGGAGTGGTCTATGGAAACGGCCTGGCAGACCCGCGTTTGTTTAATTGAGACAGAATGGAGGGTGAAGAGCTCGAATTAGGCAGAGGATTAGTTCGGGACAGCTGCCCCTGCTGCACATGGATAAACCCAGAAAAGGTCAAGGCGAAATTGAGGACGGGTCTCTGGGAGGCTTTCTCAGGCTTCATTCCTCTGGACAGGGTTAGGTGGGTCAAGTGACCTTGTTTGAACTCTCCTTTTCCTCTCCTACTCTCAGTCCGTCACTTCTTGCAAAATCAGATGTTGCAGAAAGGCAAGTTTGATTCTGTCTGGGAGAGGATTGTGTATTCCCAACTTTCCCTTATGCCTCGGCTTCAGATCAGATGCTCTGATCTCCTCTCTGTCCTTGGAGGCACCATTTCCACGGCAGGCCTAGGTGAGCTGGGAAGTTTTATGATGGCATTAAAAAAAAATTCCTTTCTGCAAGAGGCTTTTCACCTGAGTGTCAACTAACTCTGGACATCTTGTTACTGAAGCTCTTCTAGCCTGGGGAGAGACATTTTGTCTCAAAACTCATTAACGAGAGTGGGAAAACTGGGGGAAGGAAGCACAAGTTATCAGGTACAGCCTGTCCACCCATGGCTCCCTCCAACCCTGGTGTAGGTTTCTGAGGGGCAGCGCTGTGGGACAACTCCAGTAATTGCCAAAGCACAAGTCTCTGACCTCCCGCTAGAGTGGCCTCGGTTTTCTCTTTTTTTGGCCTTGTCTTCCTTCCTCTTCTAGTTTTCATGTTCTTGTTTCTCATTTTCTCTTACCTCTGTACATGCCTTAAATCTCCTAGTGAGTCCCCTGGGCATCGTGTGGCCCTACTGGGGGTATTCAGCTCAGAAAACATCTTCATACGGTTTTTGAACTCTAGCTCTCCACCTCTGTCCCCCTTCCCAACCCACAGTAAACATCTCTGTTTAATGTTTTGAGGTCCAGATTCTATGAGTATAAAGGGGTTGAATCATGAGCCAAGATATGCACTTGAGGAAGGAAACATCTGCATTTAAGGGGGCAGGTCAATTGCCTCCTGGCAGATCACCTTTCTCCCCGGCCCTGCCCTCCCCAGATTTGGGCACCTGCACTTGTTATTCGGACCTTAGCAACTGGATTCTGAGCCCTTGTGTTCCTGGTCTGAGTTCCTCCCTGTTGGTGACATTGGCTGAGCCCAATCTCTAGGTTAGGACAGCCTGACAACTCATTGCCAACTCCTGGTGATGGTTCTGTTTTGGTTTGGCATAGTCTACCTGGGACTGTTCCCCAACTCTGGGTAAGCCCTTTGTAACACCTGAGCCTCTCCCCCTAAAACTGAGCACTATCATGTAGAAGTTAGGAGCACAGCCCCTAGTGTCGGACCGGCTGTGTTTGAATCCTAGTTCTGTCCCTTGCCAGATGTGTAACCATGGACTCGTTATTTTAGCTTGCCATGCCTCTATTCTATTCTATTCTGTTACCTGTAAAAGGTAGGAATTATAATGCCCATTTCATGGTGGTGGTGTAAGGATTCACTGCGATAAGACCAAAGAGATGGGACCTTCTCTCTTGAGAACTTGACAGTTAGGTCCAAAGGAGTGTGAGTAAAACCCAAGTGCAATTTAGGCAGGTGACAATAACCACAGAGCCCAACCTGATGGAATAGGCAGGAAGTTGTATGGGGAATTGATGGCAACAGAGTCAGAAAACAGAGCGGTAAGTATTAATGCAGAGAAAAGTGAGATCCATAGGCAGAAATTCTATGTAAGGCCAGGCTCTTTGGCTCACACCAGTAATCCCAGCACTTTGGGAGGCCGAGGCGGGAGGATCAATGTAGGTCAGGAGTTCAAGACCAACCTGGCCAACATGGTGAAACCCCATCTCTACTAAAAATACAAAAATTAGCCAGGCTTGGTGGTGTGCGACTGTACTCCTAGCTACTCAGGAGGCTGAGGCAGGAGAATCACTTGAACCCAGGAGGCAGAGGTTGCAGTAAGCCAAGATCACACCATTGCACTCCAGCCTGGGAGACAGAGAAAGACTCTGTCTCAAAAAAATAATAATTAAAATTTAAAAAGAAGAAATTCTACCTAAGAGCCCGAAGCTGCCCTCTGCCCTCTCCCGTCTCCTGCAGGACATGGCGCCAGCTCCAGGTTAGGGTAATCTGGAAACTAGCCTTGAGTGAAGGGGCTGAAAGGGCTCAGGCAAGTGGGACAGGATTTATAGCCTGCTGCTGGAGTTCTGAATAAGGACTTGAGTCCCCCTTCCCAGGATTTAGAAGGGCCAGGGAGGTGGGTTAGCACCACCAGAGCAGGGAGGTGTAAAGGTGCAGCACAAAGCTACAATCTGAACATAGCACCCCCTCATCTCTTGGTACTTGGCATGGTTGGCTCCTTGGCACCCATCTCTCCCCCTTGATAGTCCCTTGGAAAGCCATTCCTTCCTTACTCTTAGTCCCTGTGTTCTTGGTGGAGTTCCCACATCCAACTTCCAGAGTAGGCCACGTGAGCATGCCTGGCTAATCAAAGCATGGTGCCTCCCAGGCCACTGGGATTGGTTCAGAGAAGGGTCACCTTGGGTAGCTGATGTTGCTGCAGCTATCTTGCCACCGTATGGAGCCAAGACTGAAAGATGAAATAGAGCAGGGCAAGGAAGAGAGGCCCAGGAAGACCAAGTCCTAATGACATCGTTGGAGCCTTCGAATCCAGCTGTGCCTAGAGCCAGCCCCTAACCCTGGAGTTTTCAGTTACATGGATCAATAAATTCTCTATTAGCTTAAATCACCTTGATTTGAGTTTTCTATCACTATTAACCAACAGCATCCTAATCAAAGGCTAAAGCAGCTGAAAATAGCCTATTTCCAGACCGCATGTGCTCATTAATAAAGAGCAAGTTCCTGTGGTACCATGAAGCCATGATACCATTGGCCTTGTGTCTGGATAAGGCTCAGGCTAAAGATGCCTGACATTACTATAAATACCTGGGCAGGGGTGAGTTGGCAGAGCAATGACCAGGGATACAGAAAACCAGGTTTTTCCTGATGCCTTATATCCTGCTTTAATATCTCCACCTGCCAATGAAGGAGTTCAATTGGTTGCCGCCATTTTAGAGAGCATAATGGTTATACTTTACCTTCAAAAAAATCTATTTTCTATCTATCTATCTATCTATCTATCTATCTATCTATCTATCTATCTATCTATCTTGCCATGGAAGAACCAAGGCAAAGAAAAGTGTAAAGATGATCCTACCAATTGTCCCAGAAGACAGCCCCTGGAACAATCATAAAAAGAATCCCAAACCCTTTGAACTTTTTTGTCTATGACAAATAGCAAAAGCATCCATTGCTGTTAAATATCTGTTACTACTACTCATTCCTTCCATCTTACAGATGTAAAAGTTGAAGAATTAGTTGCTGTCTTAGTTAAATTAGAATAGCTGCTTAAACAAGGGATCTCAAAATATATAATGACTCCACATCCTTGAAGTTCACTTCTTTTCCCCTAATAGTACTGGATTGGTGAACAGTTGGCAGGGCAGGCTTCTCCCGTGTAACTGTTTAAAGATCCAGGGAGAGGGAGGCTCTGCTGTCTTCAACGTGTGAGGTCCTCTCAATTCCAGCCAGTTGGATGGGGAAGGAGCATGAAGGAGCAGTGTGTGGGAAACCTTTATGGGCCAGACTTGAAAGTGATGAACGAAACTTCCAATCTCGTGCAATTGGATAGAATTCCGTCACGCAGCTGTAGCTAAATGCAAGAGAGTCGGAGCCAGCTGTGGTGGCTCACACCTGTAATCCCAGTGACCCTGGAGGCTGAGGAAGGAGGATGACTTGAGGCAGCAGTGAGCTATGATTGCACCACTGCACTCCAGCCTAGGCAACAGAGCAAGACCTCATCTATCAAAAAAAAAAAAAAAAAAAAAAAGGAACGGAGTCTGAGAAATATAGTTTATCTTTGTGCCCAGGAAGGAGAGGAAAATATGGATTTGGTGAGCAACTATTAGTCCCTGCTACACCATGCAGTGTTTCCTTTCTGAATTTGAATGGCACTTTGAGCCTGCAATTTCATTTTAGTCTGTTCTGTGCGTCTTTGCAATGCCCAATAGATTTGATAGTATAATCCCCACCCTACAGAAGTGAATTATTTCCTTCTTATATCTTTAGGTGGATACTCAATACATATTTATTAAATGGATAAGTCAATTCATAAGGTAAAAACAAATGGAGCCTGTTAAAATATGTTGTTTATTAGATCACTCTTTAGCCTTAGAAGACTTTCTTAGAATGTTTGTATGACTAGCCATCTTCTTTTACCATTTTTGTTTTATAAATACATAAATATCATAGAAAGGAAAATTTCAGGAAGTAGAAACATATACTGATGTTTTTTCCCACTAAACTCAGCTATTATCAAGTGCCTGTTAACTTTTGCATTCCTTTGTATGTTTAAAAAAAAACCCTACTCCCTTATCTCTTGGTGCCTCCAGAATGCAAAAATCCCTGAGCTCTCAACTTACGAATCTCCTATAAGGCTGCTGGAGCTTGGATGTTAAAAGTCCTCATGAGGGCTTTTCAATAGTATGGCTTCCTCTTGCAACATTGGCACCTCACTTTTCATTTAAAAACATTTGCTTATGTGCTTTTCAAAGTGCTTTTATAGCCAGGGTCTGATTCAGTCCTTACAAGTCTGTGAAGGTGGCATGAGGTCATCATCACCCCTAGGACCGAGAAGGGTTCACACATGAAAGTGAGCGCAGAGCTAGAACTAACACCTGGTCCCTCTGCCTGCCATGTAAACCATCTCCTGGAGGAGTGCTGTGTTAATGACCTCAGATCGGCTCCTTCCTCACCCCTTACTCCTGTTTTCTATTCCAGGTCGGAAAAAGGCAAAAAAAAACACAAAAGAGCAAGATCAAAGTATACCTCTTTACCTCTAACTAACACAGAGCCTCTATCCAACCCCAGAAGTGGTCCCCCACCAATACATGAGTCTTTTGTCCACTCAACTTTCTGCCTACCTTATTTATCAACAAGAAGTTTGCACAAGTTCTCTTTGTCAGCTAAGAGGCTTTCTACTATTACAGGCTGCCCCTTACGGGAAGTAGACCCTTTCCCTCCTAGCCTTTAGAATTGTGTTTTGAATATAGCAGACCAGAATTTTGATTAGATTTGTTTTTTCAATTATACGGTGGTTCCCTCACTTTTATAATCACCTAGAAGTCACTGTTGGCAACATGTCACTAGGGGCTTAAAGACAGAAACTGGGTTGATTTCCACATAATGATCCAAACAAAAAAGGCTGAGGAATGAATCCTGAACCACGAAGCCCACTGCAGTTTACGTAAGTGGTTTATGTTGAGACGCGGCCATAGCAAATTTCCCTGATTTCTGAGCATTTTCCTGTGGATTATTTCTAACCTGCACATTTTTTTCCATAGCCAGATTTGCCTTGACCCCAGGGGTGAACATTTAGAGAGCAATACTTCTCAGTCGCGGTTCCCATGATGCTATCAATTCCATTGTAGGGCCAATAATTAATTATAACAATAAGAAAGACATTATTCAACTAGGCCTCCCTTCCTGCCATTAAATCCACAAAACTCCCTGCCACCTGGGCAGTTGTTGATGTGTGTTTCTGTGTGTGTGTGTGCATGTGTGTGCACATGTGTACTTAAAATAACCGGATTAAAATTGTGTGTAAAATACACAAATGAAAAACTTTGAAAAAGAAAGCATCAAAATAACTAAAGTAGTTGTCTAAGAGTGGTGACGTTAGTGGAAGACGGGTCTGTTACTCTCTTTTTCTATAATAACTATTGTAGTGTTAGTACTTAAATAACTAAAATTCATACTATCAATTTTACATTAATTCAACATAAAAATTCTAAGTACTTTACTATTCCTCCAATGTTTATGATGTATCTACTACATGCCAGGCATTGTCTGGGTCCTAGGGATACAGGATGAATAAGACACAGTTCCTTCCCCCATAGGGCTTCTACTCAAATAAGGGAGACGAACATAAACAAGTAATTAGATTGGTTTATTAATTAATATGTGATATGGTTTGGATCTGTGTCCCCACCCAAATCTCATGTCAAATTATAATCCCCAATGCTGGAGGTAGGGCCTGGTGGGAGGTGATTGGATCATGGGGGTGGTTTCTCATGGCTTAACACCGTCTACCTTGGTGCTATCGTGGCGATAGTGAGTTCTTGTGAGAACTCCACCCTCTCTTGCTCCTGCTCTGGCCACGTAAGACAAGCCTGCTTCCCCTTCGCCTTCCACTATGATTGTAAGTTTCCTGAGGCCTCTCCAGAAGCCAAGCAGAGGCCAGCATCATGCTTCCTGTACAGCCTGTGGAACTGTGGGCCAATTTAAGCCTCTTTTCTTTATAAATTACCCAGTCTCCAGGATTTCTTTATAACAATGTGAGGACAGACTAATACCAAGCATACAACAAATATTTTTGGAGCACATACTATGGTCCTGAATACGTTTATATGCTTTGGATCAGCAGCAAATGAGGCAAGCAAAGACCCTTGCCTTCATGGAGCTTGTGGTCTAATGGATATAGATCATCATTTGTTTCTAATCATAATGACTGTAGTGAAGAGAAAGTGCTAGCGGGGGACCTGACCTAGCCTAAAAAGCCTGGGAAGACCTCCCCAAGGAAGCAACATGATTTTAAGTGCTTCAAGTAAAATAGGGCTTTGTTTTGCCATCCAGGACAGAGGGGGCTGCCCTGGATGTGGCAGGAGTTAATTCTGGTGGACACTGAAGTCTGTCTCTCAGTTCCATCTGCCGCAGAGTGTAGCCTGGTGCAAGAGCTGCCCTAGGCAACGTGTGGCCTCTGGGCCTTGGGCTGACCGTGTGTAAGGGGATTTGGAACCAAGTTTCCATTAGTAGTCCCTGTCCATTTTTGCTCCCATGCACTGTTTCTGGTAAGTCCTGATATAGAAACCAGCAAGGCCATCCTTCCCTTGCAGCACAGACAGTAACTAATGGGCCTTTCTTCTGCAGACGGGAAAACTGGAGCAGAGAAGACAAATCCAGCCTGAGCCAAGAGGCCTCTGCATCGCTGGTCAGGAAAAAGCAACTGCTAGATTTCTGGTTTGCCCCTCAGACCGTGGAGCTCCGGGTCACCAGCCTGAACCGCTTAATGCACATCACGCCTGGGTTTAGTTGGAAATGGCTGAAGGCACTTAAATGGAACTCCCAACCTTTGTCCTCAGCTTCCGAAACCACAGGTAAGTATTGAGGTCTGTGTTGTATCGATCATGCCTCCCACCGGCATCAGGAAAAATGCTGTGAAGCAAGTCAACTTTCTAGTGACAAGGGAAGTCATTCTCCTAATCCACTCTCACTGGACAATCAGGTTGACAAAAACCATTAAGTTTTCCGAGATTAGAAATTCACTGTCAGAGGGAGCCGTGTATAGAGTTTTCCACTCCATTACACCCAGGACAATAACCAGAGGCCAAGTGACAGAAAAAGCCTGGGGCTTTTTTAAAGTTTCCTGTGTCCTTGAGTAGAGAAAAATAAATTCACAAAGTGTCTCCTTTTTGTAGGATGTGGGTTTGTATATCCTCTCATTGATCAATGCAACAACCTATGAGGAGAGGTCTGTTTATTGCATTTGACAGAAGAAGAAGCCGAGGTTCTGCAGGAATAGGTTTGCTATCTAAGATCACCCAGCTAGTTAGTGTCGGATGGGGCTGAGAATCAGAGTCAGAAAACTGGAGGGGTCTAGAGACTAAATGACCTGCTTTCTTCTAGGCAGAATAGCACTTTAGCCATCCTTGAACCCACTTTCCCCGGAAAGACCCCACGGTTCTGTAGCAAGTGGTAGCGGGCTGGGACAGGGGTTAAGATCACAGGCTGTGGTGCCTGACGGATTCACATCCACGCCCCAACTCTGCCTCCCACCGTGTGCCTTGAGGCAAGTTCTTTCCCCTCTCTAAGCTTCCTTCTCCTCCTCTTATTCGTAAGAAGATAATAACCTAAAACACTACCCCATAAGGGTTCTGAGGATTAAATGAGATCACACTTGTAAAGCATTTAGCATATTGACCGGCGCATGGCAAGTACTTTGAAAAACAGAAGCCAGTCAGCAATAGGAAGTGGTTTCTTACTTATGTCTTTACTATAAACTTACATAAACACAGAACTGAAAGTTTGGAAAACCGAAGAAAAGAAAAAATCACCTATATTCGTAACAACTGTTACCATTACAATATATTCCTTCCGGTACTTTTTTCCAATGAATCTATTTTTTCCCACATATATAATTTTTTTCTGTAGCATTGCACTCCATTCTTTTTCACTTAAAATTGTATTAAAATCATTGATTCATATTGCTGTAATTTTTCTTTTCATAACTGTACTGTATCTTATCATCCGAACATAACCATAATTTTCTTATCCATTCCTCTATTGCCTGACATTTGTTTTCAATGTCCCTTATTATAAATAATGCTGGCTCAAGCCTGTAATCCCAGCACTTTGGGAGGCTGAGGCAGATGGATCACCTGAGGTCAGGAGTTTGAGACCAGCCTGGCCAACATGGTGAAACCCTATCTGTACTAAAAATACAAAATTAGCTGGGCACGGTGGCACGTGCCTGTAATCCTAGCTACTCGGGAGGCTGAGGCAGGAGAATCACTTGAATCTGGGAGGTGGAGGTTGCAGTGAGCCAAGATCATGCCATTGCACTCCAGCCTGGGCAACAAGAGCATAACTCCATCTCAAAATAAATAAATAAATAAATAAATAACATTAATAATAATAATAAAATAAAAATAAATAAAGTGCTGGGATTACAGGCATAAGCCACCACACCCGGTCTAAAATCTGACAAAACCAAGTGTTGGTAAGAACATGAAGCAATAGGAACTTTCATTCACTGCCAATGGGAATGCAGAGTGGCACAGCCACTTTGAAGAACTGATGTTATCTACTAAAACCGTTAGAAATGCCTATCCTATTATACAGTAATCCCAACTCAAAAGCATATATTCTAAATCAAGCATTAGAAAACTTTTTCTGTAAAAGATTAAAAAGTCAATATTTTAGGCTTTGCAGGCTATGTGGTCTCTGTTGCAACTACTCAGCTCTGCTGAGCAGGAAAGTGGCCACAGACAATGCAGAAAGAAACTGGCGTGGCTGTGTGCACTAGAACTTTATTTATGGACACCAAAATTTGAGATTTTTTAAATTTTTATTGTTATTTTGAGACAGGGTCTCACTCTGTCATCCAGGCTGGGGTGCAGTGGCGCAAGCACGGCTCACTGTAGCCTTGACCTCCTGGCCTCAAGTGATCCTCCCACCTCAGCCTCCTGAGTAGCTGGCACTACAGGCACACACCACCACACCCAGCTACTTTTTAAAAACATCTTTTTGTAGAGATGGGTGTCTTATTATGTTGCCCAGGCTAGTTTTGAACTCTTGGACTAAAGTGATCCTCCCCTCTCAGCCTCCCAAAGTGCTGGGATTACAGGTGTGAACCACTGTGCCCAGCCCTGAATTTTATATAATTAATTTCATATAATGTACCTTCTTTGGATTTTTCCAACCATTAAAAAATGTAAAAATCATGTTTAGTGCATGGACTGTACAAAAGAGGTAGTGGGCCCATTCTGGGTTATGGGAGGTAGTTTGCCAACCCCTGCTCTGTAACGTTACTCAAGGCGTGGTCCAGGGTTCAGTAGCTCAGTAACAATTTGTTGGAAATGAAAACTTAGGGGCCCCACCCTAGACTTACTCAATCAGGATTACTAGGGAAAAAAAAAAAAATAGGAATCTCTATCTTTGCAAGCTCACCAGCTATTTTTATGCACACTGAAGTTTGAGAATTACAGATGTGGTTCTCAAACACACATATGTGCAAAAGCCTGTATGTACAACAATGTTCCTAGCAGCATTATTTGTGATAAACCCGGACTGAAAACAACCCAAATGTCCAGGAACAGTAAAATGTCTAAAAGCAGTAAAATAGGTAAACCAAATAATATTCAGTAATGAAAATACACAAAGTAGGCTTTATGCTCATATTATGCAATATGGATAAACCTTTTAAAGAATGTTGAGCACAAAGGAAAATCCATCAGGAGGCTGAGGCAGGAGGATCACTTGAGGCCAGAAGTCCAAGTCCAGCCTAGGGCAACACAGCAAGACCCTATCTCTACAAAAAAAATTTAAAAATAGCCAGATGTGGTGGCACACACCTGGAGTCCCAGCTCCTCAGGAGACTGAGGTAGGAAGATCACTTGAGCCCAGGATTTCAAGGTTGCAGGGAGCTATGGTCACACTACTGCACTCCAGCCTGGGCAATAGAGCAAGACCCTGTCTCTTAAAAAAATCAATAAATCAATAAACAAATACATCCAGACACAAAAGAATATGAACTCTATGATTCTGTACAACAATATAAAGTTCAAAAATAGACACTATTGTTTTGGAGTGAGCACTTAAATGGCAAAACGGTCAAATGAGGCAAGGAAGTTATACTTAAAATCAGGATTGTGATCTTTGGGAGGAAAAGGGGTGTTGTGTTTAAATGGGCACATAGGACGCTTCTAGTGAGCTGACAATGTCCTATTTCTTGACCCGGGTGATTATAGCATCTGTATTCACTTTATGATAATTTGTTAAAGTGTACATTTATGTTTTATGCACTTTTCTCTATGTGTGATTTTTTCACAATAAAAAATTAAAAGGAAAAATAACTGCGAGTAGTGGCAACTTTCTGAGCTAGCCCTGTGTATAGAACCTGCCAGATCCACTTCACACCTTGACTTCCTGCTTGGCCAATTCCCTGTAGCCCACCCAACTGCAAGTTGCAAATTTATAGGCCAACTGAGCCCAGATGGTTTCCTGCGATAGCTGCTAGGGGCATAATAATGAATACATGTCTCCCAGCACGTTCCCGAATGCATTTTGGCAGGATTTTTCCTGCAGGCAGTAAAACCTTGTTACAAAGTCTCTCTCTGTCTCAGGGGCTTGGCCACATTGCAATTGAGCCACACTGCCTCCTGTTCCAGGCAGCCATCATCCTTGCTCCACATAGCATCCTTGAGAGCTGGCTTTTTCTCCATTGTCCTGTGAAGCTGGTTGATTGATTGTTACTAATAATCATTGCATTTCAGAAACTCGGATTCCTGTCCTCACAGCTGGAACTTTCTCTTCACACTAATTAGAAAACCATCCTCTGGGAAATGCGGCATCTTTATTGAGTCAATCTTTGGTGATGACTAAGTCAACTGGCAAGATGAAGTTTACATCAGGGAGATGAAGGCACTAAAACCCTTCCAGTACACTGGTCCCAGGCCTGAAGCCAATAAGCCAGGCTGACCTGACAGATATCCAGACCCCCACATCTAGAGAAACTAAGGGTTGCATTACAGAAGGACTAGCTAGAGGTTGGGGTCAACCCAGGGGTCAAAGAGCCATGCCAGCTATGATCCCCCAGTTTTCTTCCCCTTCTTCCTAATTTACAGTAGCTCTGGGTATTAGCTGCATAATTAAGACCACATTTCCCAGACTCCCTTGCAGTTAATACAGTCATGTGACTAAATCCTCATTAATAAGAATGCAAGCAGAAGTGGTATCTGGAACTTCTAGGAAAGGTCCATGTCCTTCTCCTTTCCCTTCTGTGTTGCTTGGAAGCTTTAGCTTCCATACCAATGAATAGCAAAGCATCATACAAGTTCTGGACTAATTTTCTGCCTTTTTTTTTTTTTCAAGACAGGGTCTCACTCTGTCACCAAGGTCTGAGTGCAGTGGCGCGATCTCAGCTCACTGCAGCTTCAACTTCCCAGCTTCAAGCAATCCTCCAACCTCAGCCTCCCAAGGAGCTGGGACTACAGGCGTGCACCACCATGCCCAAATAATTTTTTTTTGTAGAGACAAGGTCTCACTATGTTGCCCAGGCTGGACGCAAGCAATCCTCCTGCCTCAGCCTCCCAAAGGGCTGGGATTATATGCATGAACCATGGCACCTGGCCTTAATTTCCTGGCTTTTGTTAAAAAAAAAGAAAAGAAAAGAAAAGAAACTTCTATCTTGTCTAAGCCACTGCTTTGGAGGAGTTTCTGTCACTTGTATTTGAACCCAGTCTTAATTGGTACAACAGCTTTTGTCAATGGTAAAGAAGTGGAAACAACCTTAGTGGCCCACAAGAAAGGACTGGCTAAATTCGTTCACTCATTTACTTACTCATTTATCGCATTTTTAATGAGTGCCCACCACATGCTCGGCTTTGATCTAGGCTCTGAGCTATGGGGGATATAGTGGTAAAAAGGTATTGTCTCTACCCTGAAGAACTTTGTTAGAAGAGGAGGCAGAAGGCATAAGTAAATGCGCAATACAATGATGTGTAATTAGCGGAACCACAGAGGCTAAGTAGTTAAAAAAACATTTTAAAACAGGATAGGAAAAATGGTGACGCATTGCTAAAAAGGGGATAATTAAAGATCATGCACAGTGAGTTCAATTTGTAAAACAGCATATATATTTGCATGGAGAAAAAACTAAACTGATATATGCTTTTTCTGAACACCTTGAACAGCAGTGGTATTTAGTAGGTAAACAATAAATGATTAATGAATGAAAGAATCTATTTCAAGATCAAGGGATTATTTTTTCTAGGTATTTTTCTGTACTTTCCAAATGCCGCCCAATAAGTATGTATTACTTTTGTAATAAGGAAAAAATATCAACATTAGGAAACTGTGAATTAGGGAGTTAAGGATCAAGATGACGTGTAGAGCAGCGATTTTTGTTAGAATGCAAACTAAGCTGTGCTAGACTTAGTCTCAAAAAGAAATGTAAGTCTGAGGTCTGAGTTTGGCCTCTCCCTAACGGGCGGAGACTGTGGCTCTCCACCCCATGCACGGTCCGGAAGCAGGCAAGCAAGTTTGCCCTGGGCTTTGTTCTACATTTTAGTGGGGCAGGGCCCACTGCAGCCAAGTTATTAAGCACTAGGTCTCTCACTTCTCTTCCCCTGGCTCCTCTCTGCTGGGCCTCCTGCCCTACCATCAAGGCAGCTGTTGTTGTTTTGTAGAGGCTAATTAACTCCACACTGCATGAAGCCAGACGCTAATTGGCCCACTCACTTAATCAACCTTAATGTCTCTCTTCTGGTGGACACGGCTGCTGCTTTTTGTTCCCCTGATCATCAACAAACGTGGTTCCAGGCGAATGGCAGCAACAGCCTCTGGTGGTAACAGCCCTCAGCCTGTCACCTACCACGGGAAATACTGAGGCTCATTTTGACACCTCAGCTCAGTGGACAGGCCCTCAAGTTCATGATCACCGAAGCATCTTGAAACCTGAGCTTATTGCTGCTCTTCCAAACATTGCATGATGATATGAGTCATCAGATGGTTGGTTACTCAAGAGAATTGGCCTCATCTCTGTCTGTTGCTGACACATAGTTAAGACTATAACATCTAACTTATACAGCTACCTTTTGCTGAGTGTTTTTTTTTTTTCTGTAGCACTGTGTCGGGGCCTTTCCAATGGAACATGAACACAACATTGCACAGAGTAGGTAAGCAATACAGATTTTTAACCGAATGAGGAAGAAACACCATTCTTATCCCATTTGTCAGATGAGGACACTGAGGCAACAATAATGTTTACATCTGTAATTGAAATGATGTACATATTCCTATAAGATTAGGACCAAGAAGTATTCTAATCCCCCCAACCTTTTTTTTTTTTTTTTTTGAGAAATGGAAGCTTTCCAAAAGAAAAATGACTTTCCTAAGGACAGAAGAGTATGACAAACAGAATAGTGCTACCCTTCCCAAAGATGTTTACCTGTGGCTGGGTGCGGTGGCTCACGCCTGTAATCCCAGCACTTTGGGAGGCCAAGGCGGGTGGATCACGAGGTCAGGAGATCGAGACCATCCTGGCTAACACGGTGAAACCCTGTCTCTACTAAAAAATTCAAAAAAATTAGCTGGGCGAGGTGGCAGGCACCTGTAGTCCCAGCTACTCGGGAGGCTGAGGCAGAAGAATTGTGTGAACCCGGGAGGCGGAGCTTGCAGTGAGCCGAGATCGTGCCACTGCACTCCAGCCTGGGCGACAGAGCAAGACTCCGTCTCAAAAAAAAAAAAAAAAAGTTTACCTGCTAATCCCCAGAAGCTATACATTTGTTACCTTAGATGCAAAACAACCTTGGTGGTGTGATTAAATTAAGATCTGGAGATGGGAAGTTTCTCCTGGAGCATTTAGTTGGGTCCAATGTAATCACAAGGGTCCCTATAAGAGGGAGACGGAAGTCTATGAGTAGAGAAAGCTGTAAGAACAGAAGCATATGTCAGATAGGAGAGAAGAAGCTGCTGGCTTTAAAGATGGAAGAATGGGCCACAAGCCAAGGAATGCAAGAAGCCTCTGGAAAATGCAAGCTGGAAAACAGAAGGAGATAGATTTTCCCCTGAAGTCTTCAGAAGAAATGCAGTGCTGCCAACACCTTAATTTTAGACTTCTGACCTCCAGAACTATAAGAGAATAAAACTTAACGTTTTAAGCCACTAAGTTTACGGTAATTTGTTACAACAGCCATGGCAAATGAATACTGATTTTGTTACTGCAGCAATACAAAACTGATACACACTGCAAGTGGAAGATTTAAAGGGCTTGACATTTAGGCATTAGGATGTGAAAACCCTTTTTCACTGAATTGATGAGATTTTTCCATACCTAATCAGTGTATGGTGATTTTGAATTCTAGCTTCCCATAAAGATGAAGATAACTGGGCAGGTGGAACTGTTGGCCTGCCTTCTCACTGCCAACATTTCCTCTGTCTCCTTCCTAGTCTATTCTACACTTCCTGCCCTTTTACTTCCTCTTCTTCCTCAAGCACCTAAAGCCCAACCTTGCCAGGCACAGTGGCTCACATCTGTTATCCTAGCACTTTGGGAGGCCAATATGGGTGGATCACCTGAGCCCAGGAGTTCAAGACCAGCCTAGGCAACTTGGCAAAACCCTGTCTCTACAAAAAATATAAAAAATAAGCCAGGTGGGGTGGCAAATACCTGTCAAGTCCCAGCCACTCAGGAGGCTCAGGTGGGAGGATCACCTGAACCTGGGGAAGTCAAGGTTACAGTAAGCTGTGATTGCGCCACTGCACTCCAGCCTGGGCAACAGGAATGAGACCCTGTCTCAATAAATAAATAAATAAATCCAGCCTCACAATATAGCTCATCTGGGGGAAACCATGTTTCTGTGTCAATCTGAAGGTCAGCTTTAACCAGGGCAGAAAGAGTCACAGAACTTGTGGGAGGTTGGTGTTTGGGAGACGGTAGACAGAACATTTAAACTCTTGTGTTTGAATTCTACCTACCCTGCCTGCTTCCAGCGTGCCTCCATTTCATCCTCCATCTGAAAGCTTGTTGTAAGGATGCAATGAAATAACCCATGTTGGGCCGGGTGCGGTGACTCTCGCCTGTAATCCCAGCACTTTGGGAGGCTGAGGCGGGCAGATCACCTGAGGTCTGGAATTTGAGACCAGCCTGGCCAACATGGTGAAACCCCTGTCTCTACCAAAAATACAAAAAATTAGCTGGGCGTCATGGTGGGCGCTTGTAATCCTAGCCACCTGGGAGGCTGAGGCAGGAGAATCACTTGAACGTGGGAAGTGGAGGTTGCAGTGAGCCGAGATCATGCCACTGCACTCCAGCCTGGGCAACAGAGTAAGACTCTGTCACCAAAAAAAAAAAAAAAAGAAAGAAAGAAAGAACCCATGTCATGCTTAGCATAATACCTGGCAATGATAAATGCTCAACAGATGTTTGTGATAATGACACTGACTCAAGCTGAGCTCCTGGTTCTCAGGAGCCTGGGTTTACTCCTCAGAGGCTTAAGATCTAGAGCAGTGGTTCTCAAACTATAGCATGCACCAGGTTCCTCTGGAAGGGACTGAGCCTCTCTTCCAGAGTTTGATTCAGTAGGTCTGGGGTGGGGCCTGAACATCCGCCCCAGGCAATGGGGATTCAGCGGCACCAGGGACTACACTTTGAGAACCACTGATTTAGAGCTGAGACTCAACGATGGTGCCTTCATTATTGTTCCCCAGCGCCCAGCACAGTGTCTGACATATAATAGGCATTCAACAAATATTTGTGGAATGAATACATTTTTTTCCACTGTCTCCCTGAGGCTTTAAATGTCTGGGAAGCTGCCCTTCTCCATAAAAGAATCCCATTCTCTATCTTTTTTATCGCCATCATATTTACCACAACTTGGTGCTGACAATCTCCTCTTCATAGACTCCCTGTTTTCCCCTTGAATACCCTCCATTTCCACAGTGAGTGTCTCTCCCCTGGATCTCAACCTTTTCCATTAACTCCATGCACTGCACAGCCTGTTCCGGGACATCAAACTTTAATTTAAACAGAAAATGATCAATAAGCTTAGCAAATTGCCCATGGCAACCTATGCTGAGTGAATCAAAGAGTTTTATAGGTAATTTAAAGGGTGTCTTCACTCATCCCTCAAGGTAAAGCTTAGCACATTGACAAGAGCCCTTTTCCGCCCTGGCTCAGGAAGCTCTGGAAGGAAATGGAAGAGAAAGGACTTAGGTCCTGGGGTTGGAGGAGGCTGGGCCAGGAAGGAAAGATCTGTCTTTTAGGATTAAAAGCTTCTAAGAAAAAAACACTGACATTAGATATCGAACCCTGTGTGAGTTGGGGGGTTTTGGATTGCAGAAAACAGAAATAGACTCTGGATAACTTTAGAAAATAAAAATAATTCCACTCTATAGGGTGTAATTGAAGAAAAAAGCAAATAGCTGGGTCTTATATTAGCAACCAGGGCTGCTTTCTCATAGGTGCTGTTTAGGGATGTATCTGCGCTGCTTTCTCTGTGTCTTTTGATTCAAGATTCGTATTCCAAGTAAACATCTGAGCAGCCTCACTGGGTTCCAGTCATGGCCTTCCCTTGGCCCGAGGGGAAAGGTGCCTGATGGAAAGTCTCACCAAGAATGTAAGTGGGAAGAGAAGAACAGCAAGGTGAGGAGTTACTGAGGAAGGGAGTGGTGAAGCAGGACTGGCAAACACATGTTTCTACTAAGGAACACTTCTGATGTTAAGAGTTATTTTTTTTCCAAACGAGAGCAGCCAATTTGTCAGAATATATGAGTATTTATGAGATCCTGGGGTCCATGCAGGACTTTGAAGGACCATCAAGCACATAGCCTGTTTATGTGCCCAAGCCAGGGAGCTATTGTTTTCTAAGAATATCCCCAGCCTCCTCTGAGAAGATTGTCCACTTCTAACTCCTTACAAACAAGGCATTCTTCTTTCTTTCCAGGGTGACATTAGAAATATTTGATGACTGGCATGCCACAGGCATGGACTAATCAAAAGAACAGCTGTAAAGAGCACAGAAGACCAAACTGGTCCATGCCACTGATCATCAGTCTAGTGTCTCCTGAACTCAAGTAGGGCATTGAAAGCCCATTCCTTCTAATCTGCACAATGAATGTCTAGAATGGCTTCTCTTTCCTTGGGAGAAGTACTGGGGTCTTCTTTCCTGAGTTTCACAGACTCAGAGCTTTGTCAGTGACTTCAGAATTTAGTGTGGGAACAGTCGGATGGATCTAGCCTTCTGAACAGGGCTGCAGTTATGCCATGCAGTCTACTACTTTCTCCTGCCTGTTGGACTCTGGAGCCAGACTGCTTGAGTTTGAAACCCAGCTCTGTGACCTTGATCAGTTTACCCTTTCTGAGCCTATCTTTCATGTGTAAATGGGAGCTAATAGTAGACCTGTGATATGGTTTGGCTGTGTCCCCACCAAATCTCGTCTTGAATTGTAGCTCCCACAATTCCCATGTGTTGTGGGAGGGACCCAGTGGGAGTAATTGAATCATGGGGGTGGGTCTTTCCCATGCTATTCTTGTGATAGTGAATAAGTCTCATCAGATCTGATTGTTTTATAAAG
Organism: Homo sapiens; assembly: GCF_000001405.40. Taxonomy (NCBI): domain Eukaryota; kingdom Metazoa; phylum Chordata; class Mammalia; order Primates; family Hominidae; genus Homo; species Homo sapiens. The sequence continues at coordinate 33,917,535 of NC_000011.10, forward strand.
GGGAGTTTCCCTGCACAAGCTCTCTTCTCTTGTCTGCTGCCATGTGAGACCTGCCTTTCACCTTCCTCCATGATTGTGAAACCTCCCCAGCCACGTGGAACTGTGAATCCATTAAACCTCTTTCTTTTATAAATTGCCCAGTCTCAGGTATGTCTTTATCAGCAGCATGAAAACAGACTAATACAGCCTACCTCATAAATGTTGTAAGAATTAAATAAATTAAAGCTTACAAAGTACTTAGTCTTATGCCTTATTAATAGTTAGCACTCAATAAATGCTAGATGTTCTTACTAATATTATTAATATTTATCTTCTAAAAACATCCAGGGCAGAGTGTCCTAGAACCAAAGAACTGGGTTCCTTGAGAAGATCAGTGTTGAAAGATTCTTTGGAAACCAATGGATCTAATCCTTTCCTTGAATAGAAGGGGCACTGAAGCTCTCACTTGCCTGAGACCACATAGCCAGTTAATGGAGCATCTTGACTGTGATCCAGCCTGCTGCAGTGAAGGCAGCCTGTGTGCATACAGTAGCCTAGTCAGTACCTGTAGGGGTGGCGTCAGAGGCCTGAGAGGCCTGATAATGGAACCTGCCTCACCATTGGCTGTGCATTGCATCCAGCCACCCTGGCACTCCCTGCCACCCTTGGGGGAATGAGGAGGGAAGGCCAGGTGGGGAGTGCAAGACCCCAGAGTAAAGAGTCAGAGATCCTGGCTTCTCACCCTAATCTTGCTTTATGCCAGCCTCCTCCTGATGGGAGTAACAGGCATTTCTGACCACCTTTATTCAGCTCAAAGTATTTTCATATACCCTATCTTTTTGCTTAATCTTCACTCTTCCTGTGTGATAGGTGTTATTAGTCCATTTAAAAATGAGACAGAGGATGAGTGATTGGTACTTAATCCATTTTTTAAAAAATCTTTTCTTATGAAAATTTTCAGACATGTATAAAAGAAAAGAAAATAAGACCATAAATTTCCATTTATCCATTCACAGCTTCAATAATTATTTACAGATGGCCATTCTGGTTTCACCTATACTCCCCTCCCTCACTCTTTCTCTTCCACTATAGAGCAAATTCCAGACATCATATGACTTCATCCATAAATATGTCTGTAAATGATAAAAACTCTCTTTTTTTTTTTGAGACGGAGTCTCGCACTGTCGCAGGTGCTGGTGTGTAGCAGCACAATCTCAGCTCACTGCAACCTCCGCCTCCCAGTTCAAGCGATTCTCCTGCCTCAGCCTCCCAAGTAGCTAGGATTACAGGCACCTGCCACCATGCCAAGCTAATTTTTGGTATTTTTAGTAGAGATGGGGTTTCACTATGTTGGCCAGGCTGGTCTTGAACTCCTGACCTGGTGATCCGCCCACCTCTCCCTCCCAAAGTTCTGAGATTACAGGAGTGAGCCACCGTGCCCGGCCAAGAACTCTTTTTTTAAAGATAACCACAACTGGCTGGGCACAGTGGCTCACGCCTGTAATCCCAGCACTTTGAAAGGCCGAGGCAGGTGGATCACGTGAGGTCAGGAGTTGGAGACCAGCCTGGCCAACATGACGAAACCCCATCTCTACTAAAAATACAAAAATTAGCTGGGTGTGGTGACAGGTGCCTGTAATCCCAGCTACTTGGGAGGCTAAGGCAAGAGAATCACTTGAGCCTGGGAGGCAGAGGTTGCAGTGAGCTGAAATCATGCCACTGCACTGCAGCCTGGGAAACAGAGTGAGACTCTGTCTGAAAAAAAAAAGAAAAAAAAGATAACCACAGTACTATAAATTTTTTATATCAAGATGTAGCTGCTCCTTTTTTATGGTTCTTACATAATATCTTAATTGTTTTCCTAGAATAGTAGTAATTATTATTTTCACTTAACATAGTATCATAAACATTTCCTATGTCATTAAATGTTCTTCTAAAATGTAATATTTAAGCATGCATGATATTAATAAATCAATTAATTTATGGAGCCGATCATTATTTTAGATATTTATGTTATTTCCACATTTTTAACATTAAAAAGTGCTTCAAATAAATGTCTGTGATAGACAGCTCAGTGTCTTCAAATATCCATTCTCCTCTTATTCTTTGGAATGAGACCCCAATTTTACTTGGTGTGACAAAAGATAAGCTAAAAAAATTTCATTTCCCAGCTTCTTTTGCAATGTACTGAGGCCAGGTGAATACATCAGCCAGTGAAAACTAAGTAGAAATGTAAGTGGGACCTCAAGAAAGGCTGTTCAGAGATAACTGACTCAGCCAGGAAGTGCTCTGTTTTTGCCCTCCCCTTCCTCTTTCTACTGCTGGGAATGCACGCAGAGTGGCTAGGGGTCCAGTGCCATCTTGAACCATTCAAATGGAAACCACACTTCCATTCTGCACATTCCACTTTCTTCTGCTCAAGGTGATTGAGCAAAGGAAAGAAAGAGCTTGGATCTCTGATGTCCCCAGAGTCAGGATGTTTACCCCTGGACCTCCTTTATGTGACAAAGCAATAGATCAATAGATGTCTCTCTTACTTAAGCCTCTGTTACCGGAATTTTCCTTGGTATGCAACTGAATCTACTTCTAATGGAATCTTTGCACATGTGCATGATTATTGTATGTAGCACTTCAAATTATTACCTTGTATTATAGATATTTATGTTCCTATCTCACCCGTCTTATTGATCTGTAAGTTCCTTGAGGACAGGGTATTTTTGTTTGTTTGTTTGTTTAATATTTTATCTTCTTATCCCACATAACACCTATCTAAGTTCCTGGCACAAAATATAGGTTTAAAAACATTTTTTTAAAAAAATGAATGAGCACATAAATGTGGGAATGTGTGACCTTGAGCAATTGATTTTACTTAGCCAAGACTCGGCATTCTTAATTTCAAAAGAAGGTACAAATTCCTACTACAGGTGCTTTTGAGAAAACTCAGTAACCTGTTATTGAAAGATCCATGAAAACTATACAAAATAAAGGTTTATCGTGAAGGAGGACAGGAGAGCCGAGTGATGAGAAGGTCTCGAGATTGGGAACACGCGGGTCTTCACAAGGGACAGCAGGAATGTCGTGGAGCTGGGGTAGAGTCATTGAGTGGAAGAGGAGCAGCATGAGGTTGGAGAGGGGTCTTGCAGGTGATGGTGAAGATTTTTCTTTTTGAAACAGGGTCTCACTCTATCACCCAGGCTGGAGTGCAGTGGTGTGATCTTGGCTCACTGCAGCCTCAACCTTCCAAGCTTAAGTGATCCTCCCACCTCAGCCTCCAGAGTAGCTGGGACTATAGGCACATACCAATATTCCCAGCTAATTTTTGTATTTCTTGTAGAGATGGGGTTTCACCATGTTGCCCAGGGTGGTCTTGAACTCCTGAGCTCAAGCAATCTGCCTGCCTCGGCCTCCCAAAGTGCTGGGATGACAGGCGTGAGCTACCGTGCTCAGCCTATGGTGAAGATTTCTAAATGTGATTTGTGTCTCAAAATGCATGGCCCTCACAATGTTATGAGAGGGTTACATGACAGTGCTTACCACAGTGCCTGCCATAAGATAAGCATTTAATACATGGTAATTGTCATTATTGTTGTTGTTTTTACTGACAGGGTGGTATAGTTGGAAGAGAATGGAACCAGAAGTCAGAAAAATAGGGTTCCACTCTTGGTGCTGGAAGTTTCCAATCTCACTAGCCAAGTGAAGATGTGGAAAACACAAGCCCAAGGAAGTGACTGCCAAACTTATGAAAGCCTCAGAACCGTTTGCTCAAATGGAATATTTCATGAGAAGTCAAACATGTCAAATGGATGCAAGTGGCGTGACTGTGGTAGGGGAGTGGGTGGGAGTCTTGAACACCATTGCTGCCGCTCAGCTGTCTCTTCCTTTCCACAGTGGCCCCTCAGGGGGCTTCTCAAGGCACTATTTAAAAACCGCTAGACATATGCTGAAGGCCATTAGTCATTAGGGAAATGCAAATCAAAACCACAATGATGCAGAGCACAGACGATTTTTAAGGCAGTGAAACTATTCTGTATGATACTACAATGATGGATACAAGTTATTGTATATTTGTCAAAACTCACAGAATATCCCACACCAAGACTGAACCTGAATGTAAACTATAGGCTTTGGTTGATTATGCTGTGTCAATGTAGGTTCATCAAGTGCAACAAATGTACCACTTTTGGTGCATATGTCAACAGTGGAGAGGTTGTGCATGTGTGGGGACGGGGTATTTGGGAACTCTCTGTACTTTCCACACAATTTTTATGTAAAACTAAAACTGCTCTAAAAAAATTAAGTTTACCAATTAAAAAAAGCACAATATGTTCTCTCACTCATAAGTGGGTGTTGAACAATGAGAACACATGGACACAGGGAGGGGAACATCACACACGGGGGCCTGGCGGGGCGTGGGGGGCAAGGGAAGGGAGAGCATTAGGAGAAATACCTAATGTAGATGATGGGTTGATGGGTGCAGCAAACCACCATGGCACGTGTATACCTATGTAACAAACCTGCACGTTCTGCAATGTATCCCAGAACTTAAAGTATAAAATAAAATAAAATAAAAAACTTAAAAAAGCATTAAAAAAACACACAATAAGATACCAATTCATACTCACTAGGGTAGCTATAATTAACACTTAAAAAAACAAAACAAGAAATAGAAACCAAAGAGTTAGCAAAGATGTGATGAAATTGGTTGAACCCCCCATGCATTGCTGGTGGAAATGTAAAATGGTTCAGTCACTCAGGAAAACAGATTGGCCTGGCCAGTCCTCAAACAGTTAAACATAGAATTAACATATGACCCACTCAGTCTACTAGCAGGTATATGCCCCAAAGAAGTTAAAACAGGTATTCAAACAAAACTTGTACACCAGTGTTCATAGCATCACTATTCACAATAGCCCAAAGGTAGAAACAATCTGAATGTCCATCCACAGATGAATAAACAAAATGTGGTATGTCCGTAAAATGAAATATTATTCCTCAATAAAAAGGAATAAAGTACTGATAGGTGCCACGGCATGGATGAACCTTGAAAACATTATGCTAAGTCTCACAAGCCAGAGACAAAATGTCACATACCGCATGATTCCATTTATATGAAATATCTAGAACAGGCAAATCCACAGAGACAGAAAGCAGATTAATGGTTAGCAAGAGCTAGAGGAATGAACAGACAAGGTGTAAATGTGGCATAAACAGGGGTGGGTACTGATGGTGCCATAATGGAAGGCCCTGGAAATTCACCAGACTCCATCACTGGGAGTAACGAAGACAATTATATCGCTGGAGGATTAAGTTGTGAGCTATTTCTAGTCAAATCCAAAGGGTTGGGCTCTTTGTTGCCAACAAAGGTTAAAACAAGACACCATCCAGGGATCCAAGGGATAGGGAAGGACCGGTTGAGAACTCTAGACCTGTGCTGTCTAATACGGTGGTCACTAGCCACATGTAGCCATGAAGCACTTAAGATGTGGCTAGTCTGAATTGAGATATGCTATAGTGTAAAATACACATCAGACTTTGGAGACCGAATATGAAAAAAAGAATGCAAAATAGCTCATTTACCATTTTATATTGATTGTGTACTGAAATAATATTTTAGATGTATCGAGTCAAATAAATATATGGTTAAAACTAATCCTGCCTGTTTCTTTTTACTTTTTTACTTGGCTACTAGAAGTTTTTATATTGCATGTGTAACTCACATTATATTTCTGTTGGACAGCATTGCTTACTGAATCATTGCTCCTCCAGGGCAGAGGTGGTGCTATCCAGGGGCTTTAGAGGCAGAGACCACCCAGCCTAAAGCACCATGTGGGTATTAAAGCTTCCCAAATGGTAGCTGGGAAAATGTGGGCATATCTTGTCCCAACACAGCACAACCCACAGAATCTATTAAGCAAATCAAATTTTGCTTGTGTCCTGGATACAAACACAGTTGAATCCAAAACTTAAAGTCTTTTAAAGCAACTCAATTTTCTCAAAAAGACCCTATGTCCATAAAAATAGCGTCAGTGGAGGGGTGAGTCCCCACCATGCCCCTCCCTGACCCCCTAGTATGTCTCCCAGAGTCCCAGAAAGGGTAAATGGAATAGAATTTTCAAAACACTTGAAAACAGCCAGAAAAACCATGCAATGTTTCTTCTGTGGCAGAGTAAAGATTGCGCATTTTTTAACAGGATAGAAAATAAAAACAAAGATCCATACAGCCAGTCCCTCAAACCACCATTTTAGTCATAGTCTGCCTGAGCTTTTGGCTGGGCTACAAAATGAAATAAATCCCTTTATAATCCCTCACTCTGGCTCCAAAATATATTTTCACAAGCATCAGAGCAGACCCTTTGGGCATTTCTTCCTAGAAATGCTCATCTTTACTCCAACTCTTTTTTTCTGATCATATCCTTTTACAAAATAGTGAACTGAAATGATTCTTGTGCAGGTTATATCAGATGGGGATGGGGAGAGGCGAGATGTGGGCAGTGGTGCAAACAGAAATCAGCCTCACAAGCTCAACATCACTCCCAGACTCTCCATAATCCTCCCCAGATCACACACTTTGGTTGGTTTCTCCTTCCACCAAACACACTAAATTTCCCATTTTCTGCCTAGCTACATTCTCTTGTGTTGTTTATTTAATATTTGAGTTGTTACTTAACACTTCACACCGCTTGTAGGGTCTTTGAAGAGTATGATACTTTCCCTTAACCTCCACCCCTATACCTAGCTCAGTATGACTTCACAAAACACTCAATAAAAATTTGTTGAAAATTTGTTGAATGAAGTTGAATCTGATATTTGCCAACTGCGATAAAATAGAGAAAATCAATGTCAGCTTTTCCAGCTAGAAAGAGAAACAGGACAGCTATATAAAATGATCTGTAGGAAAAATTGCATCCAACACTTTACTTTCAGCTCTCCAAAGGAGGCTGTTATAACAATGGACTATAAATACTGGGTGAATGCTGTATCTGTAAAGAAGCAATTCTAACAGTGGGCTGGAAGAGCCAAGAAAATCCAGCTTCTTCTCCCTGTGTATATACACAGGTGCGCCGTGTGGAATGAAATCCACTTAACTCGATTTTATGGACAGTGATTCATGCAAACTCAGTTCTAAACTGCTCAGCACGGCTCAGTTAAATAAATTACAGCAAGAGTAAGCCAGCCAGCAGTAAGGCAGAAGACAGAAAATAAACTTGAGGTCGAGGATTGAAATTTTAGGAGTTCTCAATATGCCAGAATCATCTTTCTTCTGGGAGTTCTGAAGGGATCTTAGAGATCCTTCAAGGTCAAGGCCCTGATTTGACATATGGGGAAACTGAGGCCCAGAGGGAGAGGATTGACTATATGTCCAAAGTCACTTGGAGAGTAACAGACAGGGTCAGGGCTGCTGGATCCCAGGTCAGAGCATTTTTCCATCTTCTCGGGATCTTGAATGTCTTGTTCACTGTCACAATGCAAGGCACACTCAAGAAACCAATGGATGACTAAATCTACTAGGCTGGGATGGCCAGAGGCAGCCTGACAGAAGAGGAAGAAAGATCTGAGAAGCTTACCCTCTAGAAAGAAATGGGAATTCCTTCTGTGGGGATGGAATGTGTAGGGATGGAAGAACACTGCTCCAAACAGCCCTCCCTAGATCTCCAGCTTTCCAGTCCCCACCTGGGAGCGGCACAAGCAGCTCCATACTGTGGCCTCTTCAGTTGCTCTGTGACAGGCCTGCCACAGTTCTCCAGTCCCTCCCATTAGTGGCATCACCTAAGGGCCTCTGGAGCAATAGCATCACTGCCCAGGTGTGCTGATGCATCAGCAGGGAAGACCTGGCCTCACTAACCCCTCAGCACCCACTGGCGCTGAGCACACATTAGGACTTAAGTGACATTTTTGGGAGTGTTCTGTGAGATAACACTGCATCCTTATAATAAATTATCCATGCCTTTTTTCCCCCAGGCTAGCATGAGTTGTTTTTTTAATTTGCCATGAAAAGATTCTTACACAAAATAAAGGATCTTAGCAACTGGGAAAAATGGATAGATACATTTAAGATATGGCAGCCTTAAAACATGGCTGCAAATTCTTTAATAATTGTCTGCTCAAGAAATGAGGTCTACATCCCTCCCCCTTGAAACTGGGCAGGTTTGTGACTGTCTTAAAGAATAGAGTAAAAGAGATGTGAAGGAATATATGAGTTCCAAGGATAGGACATAAAAGGCCACATAGCATTCACCTTGCACTGCTAGAACACTCATTCTTGGAGCATCTTGACACCATATAACAAGTCTGGCCAGCTGCGGTGGCACAGGCCTATAATCCCAACACTTTGGGAGGCCAAGGTGGGCAGATCACTTGAGGTCAGGAGTTTGAGACCAGCCTGACCAACATGGTGAAACCCCGTCTCTACTAAAAATATAAAAATTAGCTGGGCGTGATGGCAGGCGCCTGTAATCCCAGCTACTAAGGAGGCAGGAGAATTGCTTGAACCCAGGAGGCAGAGGTTGCAGTGAGCCAAGATCATGCCACCGTACTCCAGCCTGGGCAACAGAGCAAGACTCTGTCTCAAAAAAAAAAAGTCTGACTACCCTGAGGCCACTATGCTGTGGACATCCTGCCAACAGTTCCAGCTGAGCCCAAGCCAGCCCAGGGACAGGGCACATGCGGAAGAAGAAGATTCCAGATGATTGCAGTCCCTGTTATTCAAGTCTTCCCAGTTGAAGCCCTAGACAGCTGAGAGCAGCGACAAGCCGTCGCACCATGTCTTCTCCAAATTCCTGACCTGCAGAACAGAAAAAAAAATGGTGCTTGTTTCATGTCACTAAGTTTGGGGCAATTTGTTACGTGGTAATAACATATAACTGAAACAGAAGAGTGTAAAGGAATAAGAAAAAGTCCAAGAGTATGGAACATTGTTTAGCTGGTGTGTACAGTGGGGGATAGTGGAATGCCGGTGCAGTCTGTAGGTTCCAGAGGCTGGGAGCCTAGGGGTGTTGGCAAAGGTGGCCTGTTGCAGAGAAACATTGCCTCTTTTGGTCTACACTCGGGCCAGCTCCGGGAGGAGGCCCTCATATAAGATGAGGAGGCTGACATAGGAAACAACCAGCCTGCCCTGGGAGTGTCCTTTCTCAGCCCCATGTCAGTCACAGAAGAGTCATAAGCATTAAGTGGCAAGGGAGCCACTGAAGTCTTTCAAATGCTCCCACCTGTGGAACCTGGACTCTGGGTTGCAGGGGACAGAAATCCAACTCAACTAGTGTAACCAGCACGCGAACAACACAACACGTAACTTGTGACCAAAATGAAACTTTATTTCTCTCAGCCCCTTTAAAGTTTATTTAGCAAGGGATGGTGACATCACACTATTCCTGAGTGGCCCAACAGCACAAGTCTGGCTGTTGAATAAAACTGTGTCCCCATATGCTCGTGGAGCATAAGTCTCACGTGCTTCCATAAACAGACACTTTCCAAAGTGGCAACATGACATTTCACTGTGCTGAAGCCAAGTTGTGCCCGAGTCTATCCAGCATTTCATGACCTACCAGGTTAGTAGTCCATGCATTGGACATAGCCACGGCAGTATGTATTATCTATCATCACAATCGTGCTGCGAAACAAATAACACAGCACTTCAGGAACATCTAACAGTTAACATTCTGCTCATGAGTCTGCAGGTCAGCGGGGCAGTTTCACTGGGCTTAAGAGTGGTCACATATGCATCTACAGTCAACTGTCAGTTTGCTTAGGGAGCTTGGCTGACCTTGGCTGCTCTGGGCTGTCTCACATATCTGGGGCCTTGACCTGGCTTTGCTCCTGATGTCTCATCCTCCACGACAGAAGCAAGAGACAGCTGGGCTTGGAGCTAGCACCATTGTCATTTACACCGCTTTCTATCGGCCAAGACAAATCACGAGGTCAGCTGGGCTTGGAACTAGCACCATTGTCATTTACACCGCTTTCTATCGGCCAAGACAAATCATGAGGTTCAAGGGGTGGGGATATAGTCTTCACCTCTCAATGGGAGGAGCTGCAAAGGAAATTGCAAAAGACCTGGGAATAGGGGAAAGGAAAGAAGGAGAGCCACTTTGGAGATCAGTCTACCACATAGCATTTCCCACCCAGCAGCAAAATACATTTGATACATAAAATTTAGAAGCATGCCCAGAAAAGGTTTGCAGTACTCCAGAATGCCAAAGTACACAGGTTGAGAACCATTAGCATACTGGTTAAGAATTGGGACTATAGTGTCAGACATCTGCATTTCAATTCCTCCTCTACCACCCCTAGATGACCTTGGGCAAGTTCTCAACCTTTCTAAGATTCTTCACCTAAAAAGTGAGAAAAATAATAGCATCTATATGACAAGGTTGTGAAGATTAAATGGTAATATCTGTTATAAAGTGCCTAACACATGGCTTCCCACATAATAAGTGCTCAATAAATAGCAATGATAATTATTATTAGTTTCATAATAAGGTGCCAAAGCAGGAACTGGAGTGTCTGGATTCACCCTGATACTGTCATCACCTTCAATCCATTTAGCTCACCCTCAGGAATGCCACCAAGTTTTGGTAAAGGTAGGCTCATAAAAGGAAAAAAAAAGCATCAGTCTCTATAGTAATTAATTAAGTATATGTCCCTATGTGCTTTCCAGTTTGCCCCCAGAGTATCATAGTTTTGAAGTGTGCTGGCATTCACAGATAATCTCAGATGTGGCCAAAGATTTAGCCACAAGAATTTTCAGCATATCATTGCCAATAATGGTGAAAAATTGGAACCCACAGAAGATTGGCTAAATAATAATACCTTATATGATTGAATACAATGTAGCTATTAAATATGATGTTGTAGGATATTTAATTACATAGAAAGATGCGGATGATATGTTGCTTAGAGAGAACAGCAAGGAACTGCACATAGGGTAATGGGCTTTTTTGATTCTCCCACATTGCCTAGCACAGCTGTAAGTGCAGCATGAGGGTTCTATAATTCCTTATTGGTCAATACCAGAACTTCAGGAAGGTGGACGTTTAGGCAATCTCCTCTTCCATTGAAGTATCATTTTTCTGACTTCAACCATGTGGTTCTTCAATCTTTATCACATTCTAAATCCAATCATTAATAAACATATGAAGTGTTCATCCTCATTAATAGTCAAGGACAAGCAAATCAAAACAACTCTGAGATACCACTACACACCCACCTAAATGGCTAAAATTTAAAAGACTGACAATACCAAGTGTTGGTTAGGAAGTGGAGCAATGGCAACTCACATACACCCTTTTGAAATTAGTTTTGCTGAAGCTGTAAAAATTGAGTGTTTATACATTGTGTATATGACCCACAAGCCCACTTTTAGTTGACGCTCGACAGAAATGTGTGTGCGTGTACTCTAAAATACACACACAGGAATATTTATGGCAGCATTATTTAGAACAGCCACGGGCCAGGTGTGGTAGCTCACACCTATAATCCCAGCACTTTGGGAGACCAAGGCAGAAGGATTGCTTGAGGCCAGGAGATTGAGACCAGCCTGGGCAACATAGTGAGACCTGATCTCTACAAAACACAAAAAATTAGCTAGGTATGGTGGCATACACCTGTAGTGGTAGGTACTTGGGAGGCTGAGGTGGGAGGATCCCTTGAGCCCAAGAGTTGGAGGCTGCAGTGAGCTATAATTTTGCCACTGCATTATGGCCACAGAGCGAGACTCTTTCTCTTAAAAACAAAACAAAACAAAACAAAAAAACAGAACAGCCACAAACTGGAAACAATCCATATGTCCATTTATAATAAAATCGTTAATGTCCATTTGTAATAAAATTGATAACTTGTGTTATACGCATACAGAGAATTCTCTGTCATAATGAAAATGAATGAAGTATAGCTATAAGCAACAAAACAAAGTGGAACAAAATAAGCCAAATATTAAAATATATACCCTCTCATAAACTGTATTATATACTTTCATTTATATAAAGTTTAAACACCTAAAACTAAACTATAGTATTAAAAGTCAGGATAGCAGTTACTTTGGGGAGGAGAGAGGAAGCAGTGATTAGGTGGAACTCTTGAAGTGCTGGAGGTTCTGGGGTGCTGGTAATAACCTATTCTTGATCTGGATGGTAGTCGCATGGTGTTTGCTTTATGAAAACTCATGAGGCCGGGCACGGTGGCTCACGCCTGTAATCCCAACACTTTGAGAGGCCGAGGTGGGCGGATCACTTGAGATCAGGAGTTCGAGACTAGCCTGGCCAGCATGGTGAAACCCCATCTCTACTAAAAATACAAAAATTGGCCAGACAAGGTGGCAGGCGCCTGTAGTCCCAGCTGTGCAGGAGGCTAAGGCATGAAAATCATTTGAACCCCCGAGGCAGAGGTACAGTGAGCCGAGATCATGCCACTGCACTCCAGCCTGCAACAGAGACCTCTCAAAAAAAAAGAAAGAAAAAAGAAAGAAAATTCATGAGCTATACACTTAATAAGCTGTGTACTTTCTAGGTATGTTGTATACTTTACAATACAATGTTTTCATATAATAAATTTAAAATGGATCATATAATACATTTAAAATGGATCATATAATAAGACATGGCTTTACAGCACTTTCTAGGAGTTAATGCCTAACAAACTGGGATTCACTGTCTCTTAGGATTCCTCAAGGGACAAGAGAGCATCCCTCTGAGTGTTGCCTGACTCCCCAGGCACCTTGGGTGCCACATAAACAACAAGCACAGCCCAGCTCCTGACGATAGAGCCCAATCTGGCAGCAAATTGAGACCAGCAGAAACCCCAGTTGGGGGATTTCTGTGAGGAGCCCAAACAAGGAAAGAGACCCACCCCATAGGCACTGGTGGCTCATGGAAGCCTGTCCCTCTGCCTGTGTTGGAGATAGGAGAGCATTTAGACTTGAATAAAGCCCCTACCAGCCCCCACTGAAGGAGCTGTTTGTTTCCAAAGGCCTGGTGGAACAACTAACTGTAAGCTAGGGAGAGGAAATTACACAATGGATGTTGAAATGTGGGCTTGTTGAAAAGTTGTCACTCGAGTAATGAATGCCCTATTTCCTGTTTTTTTGCCGAAAGTTAAATGCTGGGCATAATTAGCTAGTAAAAAAGCAAGCTTGGCAGCAGAACAAAAATAGCACATTTTGGGAGCCCAGGCCAATTAAAATTGTTTATGCAGCCATTTAGCAATATTTTTCTCCAAACTATTATGACCGGGAAATATGCAGCATGAGACTGTAAGGCAAGTTCCTCAGAAGAAAAATGGCCCACACACTGATCCTTTAAACAGCCTGCTGTTCTCAGGGGATTTTATAATAAGAATGAACACTTCCATCCTCCTGAACTCCCTGGGCCTCCTTGGGATCTTGAGAACAGCATCAGTCACACTCTGTAGCAGGCAGCTGTTGACGAGGCGCTGCAACCTGCTAATGTTAAGATTAGCCAAGTTCCCTATGTGTTAGCGGGGCCAACGATTATGGATTTAGCTGCCTAATGCAGTCATTTAAATCATCTGGCTGATGCCATAATCGGACTGAGTATATGAAATATTTTTGTTAATAACTGGACACTCTGACTGGTCTTAGGATTCCTTCCTTGCTAGAACTCAGCAAAATTGCCCTTGGCAAGGTTTGTCTCGATTCCAGCTCTTCTCATTGCTGTCTCTCCCACTCCCTGTGACCCTGACAATCTTCCACCTTAAGTACTCAGATTACATCTTTCTTTCCCTCTCCAGCCTTCCTGTCAAAACCTGCTTTCAGATTCTTCATTTACAGTAGGGTAGAATAGAATAGTCTGATGACAGCTTTCAATGCTAGCAATCACAGCTTCTAGCTAAGACATGAAGCTGTGATTATGAAATTCCAGGCATTACCCCACTGGATCAAGGAATGGTGTGGGCAGTTTGGAGGCAGGGATCTTCTCAGCCTCCCCCCCACCAAATTAGCCCAAGATAAAAAGCCTATTTTACTTAAGTTACCAAGATAACCCACTTGGTTGAACCCCTTTATTGGCTGATAGGAGAGAGAAGATTTCTAGAGATTTTCACTCAATGCCCCAGAAGCTACTGCACATTTTGTCTGAGCTTGGCCACCTCCTCTGCCAGAGTTGTGGATGGCAGCTCACAGGCGCTTGCCAGCCCAGAGGCATTGAGGGGAGCACCTGGGAGGCTATTAAAGCCTTTTATCCTTGCTGGATTGGACAGAATTATTCAAACAGCAGAGGAGCCATCTCCTTCCTTCCTGTTCACCCTCTGTTCTTTTTTATAATGAGTTATTCATTTGTTCATTACTTCATATGTAGGTAGTACTTATAAATATACGATTGTTAGAGGCAAAATGCTTGTTCCTCGGTGCCACAAAGAAATAGCACTCGAACATAAATTTAATTTTCTCAGCAAGGCAATTTTTACTTCTATAGAAGGGTGCGACTCACGGATGGAGTAATGGCAAAAGCACACCTGAACAAGGGAGGGGAAGGGGTTCTTATTTCTGATGCAGGTAGCCCCTACAGCTGTGTTGCTCCCCTATTGGCTAGGGTTGGACCGCATAGTCTAAGCTAATTCCGATTGACTATTTTAAAGAGAGCAGGCGTATGAGCCAGAGTGGTGGGGTGAGCAGTTTGGCGGGAAAGACAGTTACGGAACAGGTAACTAAAGGTGACTTAGGTCAGAGCAGGTGACCAGGAGTGACTCAGGTTAAAGCAGGTGACCGGGATGAGTCAGGACGGAGCAGGTGACCAGGGGAACAGATGTGAACTACTGATTAAAACTGGTGGAAAAGGTTGTTTACTGAAACTATGAGGAAGTTAAACTTTAAAATGGAGGACAAAGAACTGAACATACTGACATACTGATTCTTCGAAGAGAAATCTAGAACTCACTGTATCCAACACGGATGAATCAAAAACAATTTAACTTGACATTAATGGATCTCTTGGGCTTGACCCCAGCCTCCCCGTCTCACCTTTTCTCTGACTACTCATTTTCCTGAGTTTGCCAAGAACCGCTGGCCTCAGAGGCACATGCTGTACTTTTCTACTTTCGTGCTTTGTTCGGGCTCTATCTCCTGCCTATGCTCCTTTTTCTCCACATATGCAAATCTCTCCCATCACATAAGGCCAACCTGAATCCCACTTCTTACCATCTCTGACCACTTCCGGCCACAGTGATCTCCTGTTCATCTGAACGCCTATAGCATTTATTCCCTCATCGTGTGCGTGGCCTTTAGTCAAGAATGGCTTTTGACATGTCCTGCATTGCTATGGAATGTTTTTGGCAGGGGGAGAGGGTGGCATAGGGTCAGACTCCCTCCCTCCCTCCAGCCTATGGGCATTTGAGTCAGGAAGGGACCCTGGTCCACAGTTCCAGGTCAGAACTAAATGAAGTTCCTGGCAATAGTCCCACCCGCTGGGTCCCCACAGGAATTTCCTGTTAACACCCCCGCCCTCTGCCCTCCATTTCCTCTCCTCCAGGCCCCACCTCTGTCATGAGTTGCCCTGATAGCACCTCCATTCTCTCTCCCCTCCACTTCAATAAGCAGTACAAGGCTTAAGATAAGAAAACCTTATGGGGTCAGCTCCGCAGCCCCAAAAGTGCCACCATGTTGATTTTATTTTGTTTCTACAGGTAGATGTGGTTGCAGTGGCTGTAGTAACCCTTTGCAAAAACCAGTGATTTTGAAAGGTTATCAACCCTCTGTTATTCATTCAGCAAATATTTTCTCAGCACATCTGTGTCCCATACCCTGTGTGGGACCCCGAGAATATAGCAATGAGCAGATGTCAGCCCCTACCCTCCGTCTTCAAGGAGCTGGTCGTCTAGAAGGTGATCCAGGCTGTTAAACAAGCAGTTAGTCCAAATTCTGTATGATGGTGCTGCCAGAGGGCTAAGGTATCCCAAGTGGATAAAATTCTGTTTTGTTCAACAATATCTGCTGAGAATCTGGGCCCACAATGCTCTTCTATAGTTCTTTTCAGAGGCTGCAAGTTCTTCGTTAGTGTTTCACACAAGTCTTCAAAAATCTCAGGTTGTTCCTATTACCTGTTAATATTAGCAGCAATCTTTATTTATGTATTTATTTATTTTTAAAGTGCTGGTCACAACACTTATCAGAATTCTTCATGGATTTCAAGACAATAATTAGGTCATGCCTCCAGCTTTCCACCAGGTGCTTTAACTTTGTCTAGTGTTTAAAATTATGCTACAAAAGCAGTAATTCAGGCACCAAGGCTACTAGCTATTGCTTACTGAGCATGTTTCCAGTGCCGGGCACATTCCACAGGGTATATCATTTACTCCTCACACAGGTCTGGAAGAGAAGTCTGAAGGCCAGAAGGGGCCTGAGTTACCTCATACACCAGGCCATCAGCACCTCCTTTGAGTCTACATTCTCAGCTGTCTACCTAGTGAGCTTCTATTATTTTGGCCAGACCCTCATCTGTTCTCTTCTCTTTCTGGTATCATCACTCACCTTTGCTAGATACAGACCATCTAGTTGCCCCAACCTCCTTTGACCAAAAGGTAGGCAAATGACTGAAACTAGACCCAACTGATATTGAATTTGAACTTGAACTTGATATTGAACTCCCTTGAACTTGAATCTTAAGAAGCTTGGCTGGTGCTGATCTAGCCCACCGAGTCCCGAAGAGACTTTCCTTTAAGTCTCACTTTGCTTAAGTCCATCACAGTTTATTTCTGTTACCTGCAACCAACAAACTTAACCAAAACTGTCATTACTTACAAGCTGGTGCTGACAAACACAAATCTTATTATTCTCCTTTTGTTCCAAAGAGAGAAAGCTGATGCTGCCTGAAATTTGCGAAGTCCCCTCAGCACTTTCTGAAAGTTGGAGAGTCTTGGGTGCCAGGGCCACAGACCGTGGGACATTTGAGAAAGGAACTGCCTGATAAACAGCAAACGTGCCAAGCGAATGCTTTCAGGGAAACGAGGGTTGTCTGAACACTATTGATTCTAGGTCCACTAATGGTTCAGGCTGTGAGGCTGGGTGTGACAGCTCTGCCTTGCTCAGTGCTGTTAACGTACTGCCAAGTCAGGCCTATTTTCTGGTATCAGCAGGGAAATGGGAGACTATTAAGGAAGCACCTTATCAGGAACTGAGCTCAGTGTCACTGGGGAGATGGTGGCAATTAGCATGATGGAAGCCATGAAACAGCCCCCGCTCCTAGCCAGGTGCAGAAGAAATTAGTAGGAGGCCTCCTGACAGGTCAGCATAGGCCCCAACAGGAAGAGGTCCCTGGGCAAATGCTGATGCTGGCTTTTCTCCCATTGGGAAGATCCCTACCCCTTCCTAGCCATCTTCTGATGTGCTCTCCACACACTCATTTGTGGGTGTCTGTCTATCTACTTTGCCTTTCCCCAGTTGCAAAAGCAATAAAAAACCCCTCTCATTTGAATGGTGCTGTCGCATTGATTATGTCAGGCAGCAGTGTGGGCAAGGGCCCAAGCTTTGGAGACTAAAGTGTCTGGGACAAATGGGTGAATAAGACAGACACTGTCTTTGCCTTCCGTGGCCCTCAATCTAGAGGAAGCTACAAGTGAATGTGTGAGGGGCCTTACTTTGAAGAAACGCTCACACATGGCTCATCACTTCTCTCCCACCCTTTACCCCTTTCCAGACACAGGTGATGTAAAGGAAGTGGGTCTAGCCTGCAAGCTGGGAAACCCATTTCCTGCCCTGCGTGAGTTTACTGTGTGACATCTCAAAGACCCCTTTGCCTTTCTGAGCTTCTGTTTTCTCAACTATAAAATGAGGCAACCACTAGGTGTTCTCGGAGTTAGTGCAGCTCTCCAAGAAGCAGATCCCAGGAAAGGATTGAACATGTGAGGACTTAACAAGAAGAAATGCCTGTGAGAAAAATGGTGAGGGAGCTGGGAAAAGCTAAGAGAGCCTCGGAGGCCCCATGAGGCAGGTCTGACTCTGAGTGAGGAAGAGCGAGAAGGAGGGTGAAATGGAGGCAACTTAGACTGTACTGCAGTCTAAGGAAGGCTCAGAAAGGCCATCACGGAGTCCTTGAGCCAAAGTTGGCTATCAGAGGAGTCCGGTGTCTTCCAGGAACAGGCCTGCTTTAGCCTCTCTGCTGCATTCTGTCATCTGGAAGCAGCTTGCGGGAGACCGGGCCTTGGAGCACACAGTGATGGATTGTGGAGCCAGCAGCTGGGGCCTCCTGTCGTTGGAGGGCAGCAAGGTGCATTCTTTTGGCAACAGCAATCTCAAAGCATCCTGGATGCCCTGCTGTCCAATGTGACAACAGACCCCAGACCCATGGCAACTTGAGAGGGCCTGGCTGGGCACAGCTCGGCAGGCCGACCTCTTACCTAGCCCCTGCGTGGCAGCTGTTCTCAGACATTCCCTGATGGCAAAATTGACAGGATATTTATGTTTGTTTGACACGTTGGGATCAAATGTTTCCTGTCTCTCCTATTTTTGGCCTTGCTTTGGTCTTCAGAGAAGGGAAGCTGGGGGCTTCAGTTTCCCTGCTGTTGTCTTTGTTTGAAGTAAAGCCAAACAAAAGACGCCCTACCCTGATCATGTCTGTCCTGCCTTTCCTGGGGCCTCCCAGCCCTGCAGCAGCTCTGCCTCCTGGACCCTCCATGCATGTGTCTACACGTAGGAAGCAGTATGGGTCTGGAATTCAACTTCTAGGTGGGTCTGGGCTTAGACAAACCTGGATATGTGTATCTGTTCCACCACTGTTAGCGGCATAACCCTGAGCAAATGGTCACCTTGGTAAGCCTTAACTTCCTCATCTATAAAATGGGCATATTTGCCTAACTCATTGCTTGAATCCAGGAGTTCAAGACCAGCATGGGCAAAAGAGTGAAACCTTATCCCTAAAAGATATAATAATAATAAGTTAAAATTAGCTGAGTGTGTGTGGTGGCATGCACCTGTGGTCCCAGCAACTCGGGAGGCTGAGGTGGGAGGATCATTTGAGTCAGAGAGATTGAGGCTGCAGTGAGCCATGATCACACCACTTCACTCCAGCCTGGGTGACAGAGCAAGACCCTGTCAAAAAACAACAACAACAACAACAAAAAAACAACAACAAAAAAAAAACCTACCTTATAGAGTCATTGCGAGGATTAAATAAGATAAGGCACACACATGAAGTCTTCAGTTCTTCAGTATAGCTTGGCTTATGGTACATGCTCAGTGAATGATACTTACTAGTTGTAGCACTTACAAAACGTCTACTGTCAGTCTTATTATTACCATCAGTAGTATCTTCTGGTGAGTGACATGGAGGTCTTGGAAGTTTCTCCTATCCTCAAGAAGCACACAGACTAGAATAATAACACACAAAAAGCCTTGCTGAGATCAGCTACTAGGGTTTTGGAGGCTGGTTTGCAGAAGTTTGTCACAGTCAGGTCTGTCTCATTCATTTTTCCACTTTCACAAGACTTCCCTCTCATGTCTGCATGTGTGTTCTGAATGGATGGGCAGTGTCTTAGACCCAGCACACCACAGCATGTAGAGATGGTGCTCCAGGCATGATGAGAGTACATTCCAGGCACTGAGCGGACTGGGGGCCAGGAAGAGAGCTGGTTGGGAGTGATGATAGATACAGCAGGAGGGAGAGGTGTGCCCTCAAGCCCCGGTGATAAAGGGCCTCATAGACCAGATTAAGGAATTGGACTTGATCCTGAAGGCAACGAGGGTGCCCTTGAAGAGTTTCAAGTGGGAGAGTGATGTAATCAGATTTGTCTGATGGCTTCAGAACAATGTACCAGGTTAGTCCCTTTCCCTGGGGAAAGCCTGTCCCCTGGGGAGGAAAATATGAAGAGAAAGAACTGGAATTGCCACCACCCCTTAAAAGCACTGCCTGCTCAAACTTTCCCTGACCTGTCGCGTCTGAACAAAGGCCCCACGGCCAGCTGGAGAGGAGCCTTGTTGATTACTCACAATTCCCTTCCCGAGAGGACGGGCGCTGATGTGTTTTCTCTTGATAACACTGGCTCCTTTCGAGCAATAGGACTTCCTGTCTGATCGGAGAGCAATTACTGCACCTCCAAAGAGAAAACGCTTTAAACAAATCCAGTTTTAGCCCTCTGTGATAACGGAGACGTTTGCTCACTCATCAACCATTAGCCCTGAGCTTAAGGAAGAGTGAGTACTTAGGACCAGGATGATGTTTCCAGATCTGTTTGGTAAAAGATTCCAGTGGCCGAAGGGGATGTATTCCCAGGGAATCTGGGCCCCCTGCTCCAGCCTGGGCTTGGAGCTCCTGGCTCTCCTGATTCTCCCCAACCCACAACAACCCCCACACATCACAACCCTAAGGTTGGCCTACTTGGGGCAAGTTGTAGCTGCTCAGATCAAACTCGGTGTCTCTTGGTCCATTTATATGAGAAGATCATAAGGAAATCTGCATGAAGACAATTTGTTACCCAGCAGCCAAAAGTTAAAACTTTTTTTTTCTTCTCACTTTAGGTTTTTGTTGTTGTTGTTTTTGTTGTTTTATACAGGGTCTCACTCCATCACCCAGGCCAGAATGCAGTTGTGTGATCAAGTCTCACTGCAACCTCTCTCTCCTGGATTTAAGCTCTCTTCCCATCTCAGCCTCCCAGGTAGCTGGGACTACAGGTACATGCCACCATGCCCAGCTAATTTTTTGTGTTTTTAATAGAGATGGGGCTTCACCATGTTGCCCAAGCTGCTCTCGAACTCCTGGGCTCAAGTGATCCATCTACCTCGGTCTCCCAAAGTGCTTGATTACAGGCATGAGCCACGGCACCTGGCTGGGAGATTTCAAAACAGAAAATTCTACCCCCAACATTCTTACCAGAGACCATGAGTTGTCATAACTGTCTCCTTTCCAGGACCTGCTGAAATATCCCTCACTCCTTCCTTGCTATTGTAAGACTAAGAAAAGGATAAAAGGGAGATAATCATATTAGTTAACACTTACATGGTGCTTGCAATGTGCCAGGCACTGCTCTAAGCACTTCACGTATATTAAATCCTGTAATCCTCAAAATGACCCTGTGACAATACTACTATTATTATTACCACTTTTCAATGAGACAACTGAGGCATAAGGGAGTTAAGAAACTCGCCAAAGGTCACACAGTGTACCGCACAGCCAGACTCCAGACCCAGGCAGTCCTGGCTGCAGATTCTCCCCTCGAAACCACCATGTGTACTACCTCACACAACCATCATGCTCTCCCCTCACCTGAACCTTCTCCTGTATTCAATCCTGGCTCCATCCTTACCTCTTCCAGGAGGTTTTCCTGAGCCTACAAGTTCCTCGAGAGCAGGGATAGTAATCTTACTCATCTCTGCCTCCTTGGCACTTTGCACCTAACTGATGCTCAGAATATTTGCTGAATAAATATAATAATTTGTTGAGCACTGACCAGAGATTCTTTGCATCCTAAGGACTTTTGTAACTGTCAGCACTCTCTAAGTCGTAACAGCTTGTAATGTGCTCATGACTATCCTCACAAGTGAATGCTTTGTGTCCTGGCGTAGACTGTGAGATCCACTGGCCTTCCTTGGCAGGATGCTCAGTCCGAAATAAGTGCACAGTCGGTGTTCTGATCTGGCATTTTCTCTACTTTCCTTCATACTAGGTGTGGCAGGCAAAATAATGGTTCCCTCAAAATTCCAATCCCAATCCCCAGAACCTGTGGATATGTTATGTTATACAACAGTGAGGGAGAAGTAAGTTTACACATAGAACCAGGTTGCTAATCCGCTGGCCTTGAGATGGGGAGAGCATCCTGGATCATCCAGGTGGGCCCAATACAATCACAAGCGTCCTTATAAACAAGAATCAGAGTCCAGTTGGAAGATATATACTGCTGACTTTGAAGCTGGAGGAAGGGGCAAAATAATGGCTCCCCCAAAACGTTCATATTCCAATCCGCAGAACCTGTGGATATGCTATGTTATACAATAGCAAGGACCCAAGGAGTTCAGATAACCTCCAGATTCTCTCCCAGAGACTCCAGATAAATGCAGCCCATCAACACCTTGATTTTAGCCCCATGACACCCATTTTAGGCTCTGACCTGCAGAACTTAACATAATACATTTGCACTGGGTTTTTGTTTGTTTGTTTGTTTGTTTGTTTGAGACTTAGTTTCACTCTTGTTGCCCAGGCTGGAGAGCAATGGCGCAATCTCTGCCCACTGCAACCTCTGCCTCTGGGGTTCAAGTGATTCTCTTGCCTCAGCCTCCCAAGTAGCTGGGATTACAGGCACCCGCTACCATGCCCAGCTAATTTTTGTGTTTTTTGTAGAGACAGAGTTTCACCATGTTGGTCAGGCTGGTCTCGAACTCCTGACCTCAGGTGATCCACCTGCCTCGGCCTCCCAAAGTGCTGGGATTACAGGCGTGAGCCACTGTGCCCAGCCAACTTGCACAGTCTTAAGCTCCTAAGGTTGTGGTGATTTGTTATAGCAGCCATAAGAAACTGATACACTGGTACTGGATGTAGGACAAAATCAACATGGTCTCTGCCCTTACAGAGCTTGCTGAATATTCCCAATGTCTGGGGACTCTGGTTCTGGCAGACAGTTCCTGAAACACATTGGGTCCCAGAAGCATTTCTGGGGCAGTGCGAGATCTGCCCTGTCTGGGGCTGAGAGCCTGTCAGTGGGGTTTCGTGCTCTCTTTGGCAAACTTACCTCCTTTTGCTACCATATATTGAGCATTGAGCATTTTCTACGTGCTAGTGACTACACTAAGTGTTTTGCATACAGATCTAATTTCATCCTGACCACAGTGCTCTGAGAGAGGTATTTTTATCGCCATTTACCAGATGAAGAAACTGAGGCTCTGAGAGGAAAAGTGACTTTCCTAAGAGCACACAACTAGTAAGTGGCAGGTATGAGCCCAAGACTTCTGACTCTGAGCTCACACATGCTGCCAGCCACACTGCTTTGGTTCCAACCTCTGCAAGGCAGGGTCCAAGGCAGGCCAACCCCACCCTGCTTCAGCCCAGCCCCATTCACACCTCAAGGCAGTTGCAGGGCCCACTCAAGGGTTCCAGTAATAGGGCAGAGTCCTTTGTCTAGGCAAATGCTATTCCCACCCAGGAGCACAGATGGGTGTTTTCCTCCCAGAAGCCTGACTGAGGCTGAAATATGCATGATTCAGTGAAGCTCATGAGGGGCTGTCCTGGATAAAAACCCTTGGGCAGTCCGGGTGTAGTGGCTAACACCTATAATCCCAGCACTTTGAGAGGCCAAGGTGGGCGGGTCACTTGAGATCAGGAGTTGGAGACCAGCCCAGCCAACATGGTGAAACCCTGTCTCTACTAATAATACAAAAATTAGCCGGGCATGGTAGCACACACCTGTAATCCCAGCTACTAGGGAGGCTGAGGCACAAGAATCGCTTGAACCCCGGACGTGGAGGTTGCAGTGAGCCAAGATCGCACCACTGTACTCCAGCCTGGGTGACAGAGTGAAACTGTCTCAACAAACAAACAAATAAACAAACAAAAAGCCCTTGGGCAGAGTGGGTGATACGGCAGCACCCAGCAGGATTAGAGACTGCCTGCCAAGTGCACAGAGAGAGACGTGGGTTCTGATTCCCGGGGAGCTCAGGCCTGGGGAATGGCCCCTAAGGCAGCTGAGACTGGGATGTGGCTCTACTCCAGGCCTTCTCATCAGGCCAGCTTCATCCCTCCTCAGCCTTCATCTCTGAGGTGGCTGCATTTCCACCAAGCAGAGGCACCCCGATCCAGCCTTCAGGAAATTATTGCTTGGGGTTGGGGGCAGTACTTAGTGGCAATAACAACAATGGCAATAATAATAATATAGTTACCATTTATCAGGTGCTTACAAACGTTAAAGTAATCCCATTTAACCCCCACAATGATCATTTGAGGTAGATTCTCTTATCATCCTCACTTTACAAATGGGGAAACTGAGGCTCAAAGAATGGACTTCTCAAAGTCACACAGCCAGTAAACATAGAGCCTGGTTCCTCCAGCTCCAAAGCACATGCTGTCGTAGGAGTTAGGGACACATTTACAACTGAAATCATTAACCAGGTTGCTTGTCATCATGACCTAAAAAAGAAAAAAAATGGTGGGGGGTGGTCTCTAGCCTGCTTCCATTTCTCCAATGATCCTGGCTCTGATGCAGCTCTTGGCTCTTGGTTTGGGAACCCTGCTGTGGGACTCAGGGCTCTCTGGCCAGCAAAGGGTGTGTGTGTCTGTGGGGCGAGCCACGCTATCACACTGAAGTAGAGTAGAGAGGAAGTGACTCAATCATCAAAGGCCTGGTCTTCCTCGGGGAACTGTCCCTAATCACAATTATCCCACTACAATAATACCATTTCAGAGACACTGTGAGCCAGGGCACTGTGTAGCCATGTAAACTGCTTCCTGTATCTGCCAAACCCAACAGCATTCGGCAATTAATAGAATCCAGCGAGGCCTCCTGCTCCGATAAGGCCAGAGCCATGCTGCTGCTGGCCTTGTTGTTCTAATGACGAATAGCCCTTACATTGCAAAGTCATCCTCTCCTCCCTGCTAGTGGGGCCACAGTGGCCTG
The DNA here is from genome assembly GCF_000001405.40 of Homo sapiens. NCBI lineage: Eukaryota > Metazoa > Chordata > Mammalia > Primates > Hominidae > Homo > Homo sapiens. Next base: position 33,942,051 of record NC_000011.10, read on the forward strand.
GGGTCCCAGGAGGCCAAGGAGGGCTATGCACAATCTGCTTGGTCTTAAAATTTCATTGAGATGAAAATTATTTTCACTGTCTTGCTAAATAAAAATCATGACTATCCAGGTCACCCTCAGATTCCTTGGTGGAAAGGTGATGATGTGGGAATGGGTAGGACCCCTGCAGCCTAGAATGGAAACCCCAAGTAAGTAGGCACTTCATGAGGTGGCTCAAAGGAAGAAGGAGTTAGAAAAAGTTAATACAATGTGACCTCTAGATTGTATCAGGGCTCTGGGATATTCACGAACCTCAGATCCTTGGCAGAGGGCGGTGGCTCACACCTGCAATCCCAGCATTTTGGGAGGCTGAGGTGGGAGGATACCTTAAGGCCAGGAGTTCAAGATCAGCCTGGGCAATATAGTGAGACCCCATCTCTCCAAAAATTTTTTTAAATAGCTAGGCATGGTGGTACATACCTGTAGTCCAGCTACTTGGAAGACTGAGGCAGGAAGGTCCCCTGAGCCCAGGATTTTGAGGCTGCAGTGAGCTATGATTGCATTACTGCACTCCAGCCTTGGAGACAGAGTGAGACCCCCATCCCTTAAAAAAAAAAAAAAAAAAAAAAAGAGCCTAGGATCCTCATAATCAACTGCTTTGCAAGGCATAGAGAAACACTGGGGAAAATGATGTAGCCCCACAGAAATTCTTTGTGGTCCTCCAGATGCTGTTGGGAGATGCTGTTTCAGTTTTAGGGCCTTCCTGAATGTCCAGGGTGAATGTAGTTTGACAAATGATGGTGGCCTGGCAGACCCACCTGGGTCTGCCACCCAAGCTCAGGGTCAAACAAGGTAGATGCACTTTAAAACACTGTTCTTCCCATTTTTCTATTTTCCTTTTGGTAACCAGTGCCCTCATTTCTTGCCACTGGGTGGGGCATCCTCATTTTCTTGTGAAGGATCAAGTGTCCGCATTCTCTAGGGGAAGAGTTGATTAATTCATTTGACTCATTTTGGATGCTTCAGCCAAATTCCCACGGAGGTCACGCTGGTCACACTGACTGTGGTGTGATTCTGGCTCTCTTCTCAGAGGAGTGACTTCAGAGCTGGCTCACTCTCCCCCTCCCAAGAACAATGCAAATGAAGGCAAAGGGATTTTTGCCTGAGCAAGGCCAGAAGAAACTTTGGGGAGGAGGGAGAGGCCCAGAGGATGTGGGTGTTTTAAAATTGGCTCTCGATTTTCTGGAAGACATACTCTCTCTTTCAAGGTGATTTGCAAATTGTACTCAAGCATGGTCATTTCCCCTGATTTAGGTCTTTTTTAATTGTTAGTTACTATTCTGAGTTTGGGGCCCATTCTGATGAATTTTCTTGGTAGAATTTTTTTTTTTTTTGAGACAAGTTCTCGCTCTGTTACCCAGGCTGGAATGCAGTGGCAGGATCTTGGCTCACTGCAACCTCCGCCTCCTGGGTTCAAGCGATTCTTGTGCCTCTGCCTCCTGAGTAGCTGGGATGACAGGTGTGCGCCACTACGCCCAGCTAATTTTTGTATTTTCAGTAAAGACAAGGTTTCACCATGTTGGCCAGCCTGGTCTCGAACTCCTGACCTCAAGTGATCCACCTGCCTCGGCCTCCCAGAGAGCTGGGATTACAGGTGTGAGCCACCGTGCCCGGCATTTTTATTATTATTATTATTTTGTAGACACAAGTTTTCACTATGTCGCCCAGCTGGTCTCGAACTCTTGGGCTCAAGCAATCCTCTTGTCTTGGCCTCCCAAAATGCCAAAGTGCTGGGATTTACAGGCGTGAGCCACCGTGCCTGTCCAGAAATCTCTTTTTCAAGCTCTAGTCGTTTTATACTATAATAGAAGGGACTGGGGAGGTAGAGAGGAAGTAGGAATGGAGCGGGTACTCTGGCATAATGGGTGGTAGTTTGGCTGCTAGGATTTGAGTCCCAGCTCTGCACCTCCTCGCTGTGCAACCTTGGACAAGTTACACACCTGTCTCCATCTCAGTCTCCTTGCCTGTATCATGGTGGTAATTATAGGACTCACTGCACAGGATTGTTGTGCTGGTACATGGAAGTGCTCATTACCCACATAGGGAGCTACTAATGATGTTTAATTTTTATTTGTATTAGAGTATCCCTTTTCCCTACTTCTCAGTGTCCAGACCTTCCTCAGGAATAGCCTACCTACGAAACGTCCCTTATTATATGTGTAATAGAATGAAATATACAACTCATACCCAGGTAAGGCTTGGACAGGAGACTCACTACTCAACTAGGTAGTCCATTTCGTTTTCAGATCATTCTGGTTGATAGAGATTTCTTCTTTTATTTGAATTAAATGCTGTTGCTCTGGAGCCATCATTTAGTTTTTGCTGTGCTCTCCAGAACCATAGGAAATTTAGGTCTAACACTGCTTCTGTGTGGAAACTCATCAAATATTACAAAAGAGTTGGTATATTCCTTCCGAGATGTCTCCATCCAGAATGCTTGTGAGTCCAGTCCATGAGGCTGGTCACTCTCATTGGAACATGTCCCCATTTATCAATTTCTGTCTGGTAGGAGGGTGAGATCAAAGAAATCAGAAGACTCATTCGTTTAACAGGAAACACCATCCAAGTTTCATATATTTTGTTACGGAGGTGAATCTCTGCCCCTATGGCACCAAAATGGTTGGAGGTGGCTGATTAATGAGAGGTGGTTCTGGAGACTAAGCACACCCCAATGCCCTGTAGCTGGTAGAACATTTCCGTCACTAGAAGTAATGGAGGTAGCTTTAATGGAAAGATGACAGGGCCCCTCTGAGGCAGGGCTGTGGCTCAGCCTCCCCAAGGCCTGGCAGCAGGTTGGGCCAGATAACAGCTGGATAGCAGCATCAGGGAGCCACAGGAAGACCAGTACTAATCTCTCTGGCCATGTTGTGTGAACATCTGGGATCTGGGGAAGGGACACTATGGTCTTTGATGCATTTGATTTGGGCCCAGGAGACCTCCCACTCCCTTGTCTTCATGTAACAGTTAGCTGCTTCAGAAGATAATATCCAGTCCCAACTTTGTCATACCTAGTTCAAAGGGAATAGCTGACTTTGGCTTTTAGTTGCTCTCTAATGAGCATTTCAGTCCAAATTCCTTGGTCCGAAGTCATATTGAACAGTCATGACTATCACGCATATTTGAGCCTTAAGTTACTTTGTCTAGCTTTTTATATCCTGGGCACTTAGAAAGCATTCGTTCGTTCATTCATTCATCCATCCATCCATCCATCCATCCATCCATCCATCCATCCATCCATATATTCATTCAACAACTTGTGTCTGAGTTCCTACTGTGTGCCAGGCACTGTGGTAGGCATGGGGCTATCACGGTGAGCAAAACCAGGCAGATTGCAGATTCCTGCCCTGGCTGAGCTTAAGATCTAAGTGGTAGAGACATACATTAATTAAAGAATTACTAAAATAGGTACAGAACAACAAACCAAATCAAATGTTACAAAGAAAGGGAGCAAAGTTCTGAAGGAGTGATTTGCTAAGAATCCCATCCAGGACTGTGGGAAGCAGGGAAGGCGTTGCTGAGAAAGCACCCAAGGAGAGAGTGGGTGTCACGTTTACTCCCCAGCCCCCACCCCACACTGCCTAGGGGCCTAGCATGGTCCTCAGCACATAGTAGGTGCTTAATAAAGTTATGTGAATGCAGGAATGTATGCATGTGTTGACCACGTTGCCCTTGATTAGAATAATACCCTGAATGGAATCTCTTAACTATGTAGCTCTCCAGAGTTTATATAATGCTTCATGTGCATAATTTTTTTGTCCTGGGAATGCCCTCAAAGGAGTGGAAAAGATGGATATTGTTCTCCTAGTTGGATGGGTGAGAGAACTGACAAAACTAAGTTTATGTCATAGGAAGGAAGTATAGTGGGTAAAATCTTGCTCTTTGAGTCCTATAGTCCTGGAATAAGCTCTGCATCTTATCAGCTGTGAGAGGCCTGTAATCAAACATGGAGTTCAACAACTTTGCCACATTTTTCCCTGGGCCTGGTGCTTTCCTGAGTTGAAGTTTGCACTAGAGGGCCCAAAGTAATGATTATCTTGTGCTTTTTTTAGGGCCTTGTGAGAACTGGGCTTGCTCGTGGCCCACACAAATAAATAATCTGAGCAATGTCAGTATCCCAGGAAGGAATATGTGAGCTTTTCAACTTTTGACAAGACTTTCTGTAAACTCAACAATCCAACAAATATTTATTCTGTGTTTACACAGAAAAGGCACTGCACTGCTGTAAATATGCTTTCATATCTTAGTAGGGGAATCACCTTCCAGAAATTTCTGTTTTAATAAAATTAATAACCACGGTGACCAACTGTTGAGCCCTCATTATGTACCAGATGCTGTGCTAAGTATTTAATACCCATAGTTAATTCTCATAATGCTACATGATAGGTGGTATTACTCTCCCACCCCCAACACCCATGAGACTTAATTTTTTTTTTTTTTTTTGAGACGGAGTCTCGCTCTGTCGCCCAGGCTGGAGTGCAGTGGCGGGATCTCGGCTCACTGCAAGCTCCGCCTCCCGGGTTCACGCCATTCTCCTGCCTCAGCCTCCCAAGTAGCTGGGACTACAGGCGCCCGCCACTACGCCCGGCTAATTTTTTGTATTTTTAGTAGAGATGGGGTTTTACCGTGTTAGCCAGGATGGTCTTGATCTCCTGACCTCATGATCTGCCCGCCTAGGCCTCCCAAAGTGCTGGGGTTACAGGCGTGAGCCACCATGCCTGGCCGAGAGTAAATTTTATGTGTCGACTTGACTGGGCCACAGGGTACTCAGATATTTGGTCTAACATTACTCCGAGTGTGTCTGTGAGGGTGTTTCTAGGTGAGATTAACATTTAAGTTGGTAGACTGAGGAAAGCAAATTGCCCTCCCCAGTGCGAGTGTGCCTCATCCAATCAGTCGAAGGCCGGAAGAGAACAAAAAGATGGACCATCCTGAGAGCAACAGGGAACGCTTGCCTGTCTGCCTTCAATATGCATAGATATCTATATATATTCTGTTCAGGCCTCAATATATACCTGTATTTATTCTTTTCAGGCCTTTATCTCATTCATTACATAGATAGATAGATAGATAGATAGATAGATAGATAGATAGATAGATAGATAGATCTTCTATTAGTTCTGTTTCTCCAGAGAGCCCTCATATGTCCCCTTTACAGATAAGGAAAATGACACCCCAGCCCTTCTGATTAATATATCCCAAACCCCACCTATCCTCTTCCCCCAAACCCACCCCCCTGGGATTTGAAACCAACCATCCTTTTGTTCTCCTAGAGTTCCTTTATCTCCTGGATTGGAAGTGTCCCTGTCTTTGGACTCTTTCCTGCATTCACCTCCCTCCCTTCATTCCAGCTGCCAGTACCCACTGCCAGACCCCCAGCTTCCTCCCTCTGGGTGGAGGTGATATCACCTGAGGGGTTCCCATAGCTGCAGACCCTCCTGACCACCAGTCAGGATCTTCCCCAAACACAGGTCCTCCCTCCCCAGGCCCCTTCAGTCACCAGAGGCTTTAGGCACAAAGCTCAGGGCTTACAGGCTCTTTCAGATTAAGTCCCAGGATAAAGTTTAGGCCTGAAAAATATGTTTTAACTGATACCAAAATATGAAAAGAAGAATTGAAATTAATAAATATTCCAACAATGCCTTAAAAAATTAATTTGTTAAACTTTGTAATTTCATCTCAGTAGAAAATAATTTTAGGGTTTTTTTTTTTTTTTTTTTGAGACAGTCTCCCTCTGTTGCCCAGGCTGGAGTGCAGTGGCACGTTCTCGGCTCACTGCAACCTCCGCCTCCGGAGGCCCTGCCTCAGCCTCCTGAGTAGCTGGGATTACAGGCACATGCCATCATGCCCAGCTAATTTTTGTATTTTTAATTGAGACGGGGTTTCACCATGTTGGTCAGGCTGGTCTCGAACCCCTGACCTCATGATCCGCCCACCTCGGCCTCCCAAAGTGGTGGGATTACAGGAGGGAGCCACTGCACCCGGCAATTTTAGGGTTTTTTAAATCACTTTGAAATAATTTCTGAATGTGCATGGTGACTGTTGCATCATTCCAGCCAATTGTAAAATAAATGTATTTGTAAGCAAGTAATTTTTTAACCTTTATTTTAGGTTCAGGGGTACATGTGCAGGTTTGTTATATAGGTAAGCTCATGTCATGGGGGTTTGTTGTACAGATTATTTTATCACCCAGGTACTAGACCTACACCCAATAGATTTTTTTTTTTCTGATCTCTCTCTTCTCCCACTTTCCACCCTCACGTAGGCTCCAGTGTCTGTTGTTCCCCTCTTCGTGTCCATGTGTTCTCATTATTTAGCTGCCACTTATAAGTGAGAACATGCAGTATTTGTGTAATAAATAATTTTAAAGATGACAATTATCAAAATCTTGTCTACTTTTTCTAAAGGGAAAGTATATACATATATATATATATACACATACATATATGTGTGTGTATATATATATATTTAGTGTGGGATGTGGCTGTGCCTGGGTCCTAACAAATTCTTAAAACCCCTTGCCCATTTGTACCCATTTATGGTATTCAGTGCCCCCCATTACCCAGCCCATCGTGCTCTGCACTTTATCTCATTCATTCATTCATTCATTCATTCATTCATTTGTTCAACAAATTCAACAGATACTTGCGATTGATATTCTGAGTTAGGCATGGTTCTCAGGGCATACAGCACTAAGCAGGACAAACAAACCTGGTCCCCACCCTCCAGAAACTTACACTAACTAGACTGTGGGAAGTAGCAGAGTGGCAGGTGGATTGGAGATCACCTATAAGCAAATAAGCAAATAGATTACAATAAACTGTCAGGTTTATTTGAAGAGAAATAAATGAGGGAAAGAAACTTGAGTGTGGCTGGAGGGAAGTTACTCTTTTTAGACAGGCTCTTTTTAAACAGGCTAAAAAGGCCTCTCTGTGGAGGTCAGATTGAAGCAAAAACATAAATTAAGTCAAGAAGTCAGCCGGGCAAGCATCTGAGGGAGAGAGTTCCAGGCAGAGGAAACGTTCAGTGCAGAGGCCCTGAGATAGGTATGGGCTTAGTGGGTTGGAGGGAAGGTAAGGACGCCAGCCCTGCTGGAGCCAGAGTGAACAAGGGGAGAGTATTAGGAGCTAAGGGCAAAGAGCTGGGGGGAGTGGGCAGGACATGGAGGGTTTTGGTCAACACTCAACTCCTCTGCTCTCCAGAATGTTCCTTCAGCTGCTCACTTTGCAAATGCTGCCATTGTACGGGAGGCCCTTTAATGGCTGATTGGCTCATTAAGCAGTGGCAGCAGTTTGCTGAGCCATGGGACATCGTGGATCTGCCAACACCTCCCTCCGACAGACATCTCTGTGGGCAGAGCCAGCCAGGCACAAATTACCTCACTAAACAGTCACTGCCTGCCAATTCCAGCAAAGGCCTCCTTGGACCCCCTTGGCTTTGTTGCCCTAAGAATCCCACTTGCCGCCCACCATTTTCCTCTTAAATGCCAACGGCCCCATCCTTGTCTGCCCCTGCATCGGTAAGCTTGAGGCATTTTGCTTTGATTGGTGCTACCATGGACAGGCCAACTTATTCTGTTGGCTCCTTCTTGGTCATATTCTGACTCAGGATTCCTGATTCTTAAATGTAGCAGGAGTTAAATGAGTGTGACATAATTCAAAACGCTCCCATTTTAGAAGTCTGTGGTGACTTGTAAACATTTTTTGCATGAATGAAACTTTGTTAGCTTTTGTTGAAAAGTGTTGGGAGGTGACGGGGGCTGTAGTTAAACTTGCCCAAAAAATATTTCTGGATCACCTCTTGGTGATAGGCACTATTTGATATACTGGTAGAGTAGTGACCAAGACTCACCAAATCCTTTAGAAGGAACTTATGTTGGGGGGAGAGGGAAACGGCTAATGAGCAAGTAAATGACAAATGATCAAGGCACATTCAGACAGTGATCAACTCCATGCGGAAAATGAAACAAGCTGAGCCGGGGCTGGGATGGGGTAGACAGTACCTTAGATCAGATGGCCCAGGACTGGCTCTTTAAGAAGATGGCATCACAGATGAGGCCTAAATTAAAACAGGGAGCCAGCCATGGACTCCCGGGAGAGGTAACAGACAATGCAAAGGCATTGAAGTAGGAATGGCTTAGCCCTTGGTAGAACAGAAAGGCCAGTGTGACTGGAAGATGGTGAACAAAGGAGAGAGAAGTATGAGGCTGGAGTAGGCGCCTGGGGCCAGGTTGTATAAGGTCTAGTAAGCCATAGTAAGAGGCCTGGATTTTCAGCAGGGGAATAATTTGCTTCATGTTTTAAACAATTCCCTGCCACTGCTAGGTGAGAAGCCATCAACAACTGGAACCTGCATTTGTACAGTGCTTTACGATTTACACAGACCTCCATGTTTGCAATCACATTAACATCACAATATCAAATGAAATGGATAGAATTCTTCCTATTTTACAGAGCAGAAACTGAGGCTCAGAGAGGTTTAAGTAATTAAGCCAGATAAAATGTCAGCAGGTGGCAGGACTCAATCAGAAGCACCTAGTGAGGAGGCAGCTTCTTAGGAAAAGTTTCCTGCATATGGGTTAAAAAGAAATGAATAGAAAAATCTAGAAGAAATGGACAAATTCCTAGACATATACAACCTACCAAGATTTAAACCAGGAATAAATAAAAAGCCTGAACAGACCAGGCACAGAGGCTCATGCCTGTAATCCCAGCCCTTTGGGAGGCCAAGGTGGGCAGATTACTTGAGCTCAGGAGTTCAAGACCAGCCTGCCCAACATAGTGAAACCCCATCTCTACTAAAAATACAAAAATTAGCCAGGCATGGTGGTGTGAGCCTGTAATACCAGCTTCCTGGGAGGCTGAGGCGGGAGAATCACTTGAACCCGAGAGGTAGAGGTTGCAGTGAGCCAAGATTGACCACTGCAACCAGCCTGGATGACAGAGTGTGACTTCACCTCAAAAAAAAAAAAAAAAAAAAAAAGCCTGAACAGACCAATAACAAGTAACGAGATCAAAGCCATAAAAAAGCCTACAATAACTTCACTGCTGAATTCTACCATTTAAAGAAGAACTAATACCAGTTCTACCCAACTATTCTGAAAAATACAGGAGGAGGGACTACTTCCAAACTCATTCTACAAGGCCAGTATTACTCTGATACCAAAACAAAGACATGTCAAAAAAAGAAAATGACAGCCCAATATCTCTGATGAACATTCATGCAAAAATCCTCAACAAAATACTAGCAAACTAAATTCAGCAATACATTAGAAACATCATTCATCATGACCAAGTGGGATTTATCCCTGGGATGCAAGGATGGTTCATCATACACAAATCAATTAGTGATACATCATATCAACAGAATGATATGCTATATGATTTTTGGTGGAGTCTTTAGTCTGAAAGCCTAAAGACTCCACCAAAAATCAATTAGAACTGATAAACAAATTCAGTACAGTTGCAGGATACAAAACCAACATACAAAAATCAGTAACATTTCTGTCTGCCAACAATGAACAATCTGAAAAAGAAATTTTAAAAGTAACCCATTTACAATAGCCACATATAAAATTAAGTATCTAGGAATTCACCAAAGATGTGAAAGATCTCTATAATGAAAACTATAGGCCGGGCACGGTGGCTCACACCTATAATCCCAGAACTTTGGGAGGCCAAGGTGAGTGGATCACTTGAGGCCAGGAGTTTGAGACCAATCTGGGCAACATGGCGAAACTCTGTCTCTACTAAAAATACAAGAAATTAGCCAGGCATAGTGGTGCATGCCTGTAACCCAGCTACTCGGGAGGCTGAGGCAGGGGACTTGCTTGAACCCGGGAGGCGGAGGTTGCAGTGAGCCGAGATCGTGCCACTGCACTCCAGCCTGGGCGACAGAGTGAGACTGTCTCAAAAACAAACAAACAAAGAAGAATGAGATTTTGTCATTTGCAACAACATGGATGAAACTGGAGGTCATCAAGTTAAGTGAAATAACCCAGGTACAATAAAACAAACATCATATATTCTCACTTATTTGTGGGATCTAAAAATCAAAGCAATTGAACTCATGGACATAGAGGGCAGCAGGATGGTTACCAGAGCCTGAGAAGGATAGTAGGGGGGGTGGGGAGAGGTGGGGATGGTTAATGGGTACAAAAAAAAAATTATTTAGAAAGAATGAATAAGAACTACTATCTGATAGCACAGTAGGATGACTAGAGTCAATAATAACTTGATTATACATTTAAAAATAACTAATTAGGCCAGGCCCGGTGGCTCATGCCTGTAATCCCAGCACTTTGGGAGGCCGAGGTGGGTAGATCACCTGAGGTCAGGAGTTCGAGACCAGCCTGACCAATATGGTGAAACCCCGTCTACTAAAAATACAAAAAAATTAGCCGGGAATAGCGGCATGTGCCTGTAGTCCCAGCTACTCGGGAGGCTGAGACAGGAGAATTGCTTGAGCCCGGGAGGCAGAGCTTGCAGTGAGCAGAGATTGCACCACTACACTCCATCCTGGGTGACCTAGCGAGACTCCATCTCAAACAAACAAACAAACAAACACCTAATTAAACTGTTTGTATCACAAACGATAAATGCTTAAAGGGATGGATACCCCATTCTCCATGATGTGATTATTATGTACTGCATTCCTGAATCAAAACATCTCATGTGCCCCATAAATAAATACACCTACTATATACTCACAAAAACTAAAAATGTAAATTTTTTTTTAAATGGACAAGCAGCTATAACTCTATCCATCTCCTCCCTTGCTGTGGCCAGCAAACCGCACAGTCATACCTGCTTTCCTCCCTTTGGGTGTGTTGTTCCTTACCTGGAATCCCCTCACCCCCACCCCCTTTCCTTCCTCCTACTCAATCCCTTTCTCAACAGCTCCTGCCACAGGAGCGCTCTCCTCTTCCAACCACCCACCAGAATGCACGTCAGCGTGCTTAATTATGATTACATCAGTATGTCCTTGTATTTTATCTCACCACCATACCCTGCAGATGTCCATTCCCCCCAAATTTTGTCAGTACCCACCACCACACACTAATTCTCGTGATAGAGCTAAGCATGTAATGAGTGCTTAATGTAAAACAGAATTTTTTTAATTTTTATTTTTTATATATTTTTCGAGACAAGGTCTCACTCTGTCACTCAGGCTGGAGTGCAGTGGCGCGATCTCGGCTCACTGCAGCCTTGACCTCTGGGGCTCAGATGATCCTTCCGCCTCAGCCCCCTAAGAAGCTGGGATGTGAGCCACCATGCCTGGCTAATTTTTTGTAGAGACAGGGTTTTGCCATGTTGCCCAGGCTGGTCTCAAACTCCTGAGCTCAAGTGATCCACACGCCTCGGCCTCCAGGCATGAGCCACCACGCCCAGCCAAAACAAAATTCTTTCTATTGAATTAGACTTATCATTTCCTGAGTGCTTCCTGTCTGCCAGGCACAGAGTTATTGGTATTTTCCAAAAAGTATTTTAGTTAATTCTAATAGCAACCGTCTTTGAGAAAGTTACTATTATTATTTTATACATGAAGAAATGGAAGCTCAGAGATGTTAAAAAGAAGCAAATGATACATTTCAGCTGTTCTATACATATTTTTAAAAAGAAGCAAGTAGCTCCCTAAACCCATACTGTTAATCTCCATTGTATTAATACTTCCTTCTTATTGAAGACAGAAAGTTTTTTCCAGCCTTGATATATGAACCTCAGGTGTTAAAAGTAGGACTCTAAGAACAAATTAAAATGTTTTCTGGGCTGGCTGCAGTGGCTCACGCCTGTAATCCCAGCACTTTGGGAGGCTGGGCAGGTGGATCACCTGAGGTCAGGAGTTCGAGACCAGCCTGGCCAACATGATGGAACCCTGCCTCTACTAAAAATACAAAAATTAGCTGGGCATTGTGGTGCATGCCTATAGTCCCAGCTGCTTAGGAGGCTAAGGCAGGAGAATCTCTTGAACACGGGAGGTGGAGGTTGCAGTGAGCCGAAATTGTGCTGCTGAATTTCAGCCTGGGTGACAAAGCAAGACTCCACCTCAAAAAAGAAAAAAAAATGTTTTCTGCTGCAAACACATAGAGTATCGCTGCAAAACTTTCTGGGATTAACCATTAGTCCATTGGTCTACACGTCTATCCATTCATCCATTTATCCTAGCAACCACCTTCCCCTCTGATTTATGCCAAGTCTCTGAGGACAGTCCAAGTATGTCTACAGATAGTGGGTGGGGTGACAGGGGAAATGTGTGAAGGAGGTCTCGCTTGCTTCATACTGCCCTGCTCCTTCCCTGAATTAACCCCTTTGCCCATCTAGAAGAAACAGAGGAGTGGCAGGAAGGCTATAGAAACAGGTTCTTGACACCTCCTCTTGTTATTACCACTCCTTTTCAGCTGTGAGTCCAATCAGCCCGGAGCTTCTGATGAATTTGTCACCCTAAGGAGGCAAAGTATGCTTCCAAAACTCACATTCAGATGTGCAGATCTGTTGCTCCTCCAGATCCGTGGAGCCCAGCGAAGCAAAAATGGCCACCGCTGCAGTGTAGGAGAGAGGACAGCAAAGGACCGCATGGATGTCTTCTTTCTGCAGTACTTCTTGATCAGTTCCCTAATCTCCCGGCTCCCATTTCTTCCTTTATTTAATAGGCGAATAGAACAGGATTTTCTTTTCCCTTCACCTCCTTAATCTTCTCCAACACAAAGTCTATGGTATAGAAGAGAACTCTAGTAAGACAGAATAAAAACGTTGAAACTTTGTTAAGCTCATAACACATCAAAATGAGACAATGATCAGTAGGAGTGGGCAACAGTAGCAAGAGACAGGTCTGTTGGTCCTGTAGCTACTCCACTCTAGACTTAAAGCAGAGGCAGCAAACTGAAACGCCGAGACGGACCAGACAGGTAATAGAAATAAGCACAATCAGAGAGCCAGAGCTATACAATAGGGCCTTGATGAGCGAGATCACACACACCTGCTGAGAGGGATGGGTGCAACTCGGCTCCAGGATTGTGGTGCCACGTGGGAGCACAGGCTCAGTGCCGACAGATCTTTCTGGCTTTGTGAAAAAAAGCCAGAAATTCTGATGATTTTATGCAAAAAATTATTTATTTTTAAGCATTACCTACTAAGTCACATGATGTGTTAAAGGGAAATACTCACTCCCCTTCTTGAAGATTCCTCACGGGAAGAGACATCTCTAAGAGTAACACTCCTGGCCTCTCCCTACTCTTCACTCATTCCTCCCTTGATGGGAAGAGTACCTTATGACTGATGGGTTTGGAGGGAGAAACTGGGCATTCATAAGAGAGTGCCTTTTCCTCCCTTTTTCTTTGGGGCACAAGTTCTGCCCTGATGAAAGGCAGCCTCCCACAGTTCAGCATGGGTAAGAATGCCTAATTCTGGTATTCTGTGTTAGGGGCCCTATTTGCCTATAGCTATAAGCTGTATTCTCCAATATCCACTTTCTCACTAAGGTGAAACCCTGCCTCCATCAGCTGGCTCTTCCTCTTATTTATCAGTTGGTTCACAACTTAGGCAGAGAAAAGAACCTCTAATAACTGGGCATCCCTCAAGACTCCAAGAGTCAGCTCTTGTCTCAGGTATCAACTTGCTCCCTCTGAATATGAATCAAATCTTTGGATGCAGGATTAGGGCCTGCCATCATCCCACCATGGTAAAGCCAGGAGCCATGCTTAGAACCCTGAGGGTCTTCTGGTGATTCTCCAGGATGGAGCTCAGAGGGAGGGGGTAGAAAGGATTGAGGAGATAGTGGGAGGTAGGAGAAGAGGGAGGGGAGGCCGGGCATGGTGGCTTACACCTGTAATCCCAGCACTTTGGGAGGCCAAGGTGGGTAGATCTCTTGAGTCCAAGAGTTTAAGACCAGCCTGAGTGAAATGGTGAAACTGTGTCTCTACAAAAAATACAAAAATTAGCCCAGTGTGATGGCGGGCACCTGTAGTCCCAGCTACTCAGGAGGCTGAGCCAGGAGAATTACTTAAACCCGAGAGGCAGAGGTTACAGTGAGTTGAGATTGCACCACAGCACTCCAGCCTGGGCGACAGAGTGAGACTCTGTTTAAAAAAAAAAAAAAAAAAAAAAAAGAGGGAGGGAAGACCCAAAAAGAGACACCTGGATACCCATCAGAAGGGGACATTATATGTAGACTGAAAAGTGACTTAAAGGGAAAACAAAAGAAGGTCTTGCACCATCTTCTGAACATCAGGAGTGTTATTTTCTATTAAGTAATGGTCTGTACTTATGCACCCTTCCTGGGGGTGACATAAGAATAATAACATCTCCCATGCCCCTTTCACAAGGTTGAAATGGTCAAATACGTTATCTTTAGAGAATCTTATCATACGACCCTGTTATCTGTATCATCAATAACATAATTCAAGGTGCCAAGAAGAATCAAACTTACTTATCCTGACACTCATTTCCAAAACCCCAGAGCACTAAAATCAGATGTTATTTTCTTAAGGACGATTTAACCACCATTGGGAACAAGAGAAACTATTACCTGGGAAAAAATATTAAATAGCAAAGTAAACTATTTTGAGTCTCACTCATCAAACATTTATTGAGCATTTACTATGTGCCTGTCACTGCTCTGAGAAGTAGGGGTACAAAATTGAATAAGTCCTCTGAACAAAGAGAGTGTAGAGTGCTGGCAATTTCCGCCAATTCAATATGCTGTGTTTTTGTTTTGTTTTATTTTAACTGAAAATGTATTTTTAAAGAATGTTTGGGAATTCTAGCCCTATGATAAACTGTTTTGTTTCACTTCCTTTAGCCGTTATTTTATGACAGCACTGACCTTCTGACCAAAAGCAAAATTCTGGCCTTTCTAAATATCCCATATTGGCTGGGCTTACTGGGTTTTCAAAATAAATGGATTAGATTTCTCGACCTGTCAAAATATAGAACACGAGGGCTTCTTTAAATTTAGGGGCCTGCTCTGAGTGCAGATTCAGTGTTCACTCATCTGAGCAGGAGGGCTGAAGTCCAGCTTCTCAGCAACCTGTTATTTTTGATGGAAGCAGAGGTGACTAGAACAAAGAAATTTGCTCAGGCTGGTCAGACTAACTGAAACTTGATGTCACTGGGGGCAATCAAGGCATCAGATGCCTTGGACTCGCTCAGGAGCATATTTTAGAGGATCCTAACTCAGACATAAGCCTAAGCTCCTGAGAGTTCCTGCAATTACATCCCAGGGAGCGGTCCAGGGAGGAGGTGGGGCCCCTGGGAAGATGGTCTGAGGTACCCAGTGCACCACAACAAGTACGGTTAGCTGTAAAATGATGGACGGTGTTGTCAATAATGGAAGGATGGAAAGATGCTGAGAACAACCTGGATTTGCACCCCAGCTTCACTACTTTCTAGCTATGTGACCTTGAGGAAGACCTCAGTTTCCTCATCTGTGCAATGGGGCTGATAACAGTACCAACTTTACAGGACTGTAAAGATGGTCAAATGTAGCAACCACAAAGAATAATTCCTCCTGTAAACGGACACCCAAACCAGCTTCTCCTCATACAGCCTGGCTGCTTCATTGTCATACCTGGAGTCTCTCAGAGGTCAAGAGAGGTTCCTTGTACACTCATGCTTCACTTAACCACAGAGATATGTTCTAAGAAATGCATCATTAGGCGATTTTATCGTTGTTTAAACAGCATAGAATGTACTCATACAAACCTAGATGGCATAGCCTACTACACACCTAGGCTACATGCTGTAGCCCATTGCTCCTAGGCTGCACACCTGTAGAACATGTTACTGCACTGAATACTGTAGGCAACTGTAACACAATGGTAAGCATTTGTGTATCTAAACACATTTAAACATAGAAAAGGTACAGTAGAAATGTGGTATAAAAGATTAAAGGCTGAGCGCCATCTTGGCTCACTGCAACCTCTGCCTCCCAGGCTTAAGATATCCTTCTGGCCAGGCGTGGTGGCTCACGCCTGTAATCTCAGCACTTTAGGAGGCCAAGGTGGGTTTATCACCTGAGGTCAGGAGTTTGAGACCAGCCTGGCCAACACGGTGAAACCCTGTCTCCACTTAAAAAAAAAAAATACAAAAAATTAGCCGGGCATGGTGGCAGACACCTGTAATCCCAGTTACTCAGGATTACAGTTACTCGGCCCATGCAATAAGATTGAAACACTGTCTCAAAAAAAAAAAAAAAAAAAAGATTAAAAATGGTATACCTGTATAGGGCACTGACGATAAATGGAGCTTGCAGGACTGGAAGTTGCTCTGGGTAAGTTAGTGAGTGAATGTGAAGGCCTAGGACATCACTGTACACTACTGCAGCCTTTATAAACACTGTGCACTTAGGCTAAATTTATTAAAAATATTGTTCTCTAGGCCAGTCATGGTGGCTCATGCCTGTAATCCCAGCATTTTGGGAGACCAAGGCAGGAGGATCACTTGAGCTCAGGAATTTGAAAACAGCCTGGGCAACATAGTGAGATGTCATCTCTAAGAAATAAAATAAAAAAATAAAAAATAATAATACTTTTCTATCTTCAATAATAAATTAACCTTAGCTTACTATACCTCTTTTACTTTATAAACTTTTAGATTTTTAAAGCTTTTTGGCTCTTGTGTAATAACATTTAGCTTACAAAAATATTTGTATGGGTATAAAAAATATTTTCTTTATGTTCTTATTCTATAAGCTTTTTTCGATTTTTAAATTTTTTACTTTTTAAACTTTTTTGTTAAAAATGAAGACACAGAGCTGGGCATGGTGGCTCATGCCTGTAATCCCAGTAACTTGGGAGGCTGAGAGGGGAGGATCACTTGAGTCCAGGAGTTCAAGGCCAGCTTGAGCAACATAGCGAGGCCCAGGCTCCACAAAAATTTTTTAAAAGTTAGCTGGGCATGGTGGTGCTTGCCTGTAGACCCACCTACTTGGAAGGCTGAGGCTGGAAGATTGCTGGAGCCCAGGAGTTCAAGGCTGCAGGGAGCTCTGATGTTACCACTGTACTCCAGCCTGGGCAACAGAGCAAGACCTTGTCCTTAAAAAATGTATAATAAAAAGAATTAAAAATTAAAAAAAAACAAAGACACAAATACATGATTAGCCTAGGCTTACACAGGGTCAGGATCATCAAGACATCACTAGGTGATAGGAATTTTTCAGCTCCATTAGAACAGTATGGTACCACTGTCCATCATTGACCAAAGTGTCATTATTAGGTGCATAACTGTATATTAGAAAATGCCAAAACTGGGTCAAACAGAAATTGTGATGCTCTAACGGTTAAATTCTTTTTTTTTTTTTTTTTGAGATGGAGTCTTGCTCTGTTGCCCAGGCTGGAGTGCAGAGGGGCAATCTCGGTTCACTGCAACCTTTGCCTCTCAAGTTCAAGTGATGCTCATGCCTCAGCCTCCTGAGTAGCTGGGACCACAGGCATGTGCCACGATTCCTGGCTAATTTTTGCATTTTTAGTAGAGACCGGGTTTCACCATGTTGGCCAGGCTGGTGTTGAACTCCTGACCGCAAGTGATCTGCCCGTCTTGGCCTCCCAAAGTGCTGGGATTACAGGTGTGAACCACCATGCCCGACCTAATGGTTTAAGTCTATTGTTGTATTGTTGTGACTATATGCCAATGCTTATTCAGAGATAATTTATATAAAGTCAAATTTGAAATCTTTTGTGAATGTGAGGCCGCTGGGAAATGACTGACCCCCTCCACCCTCCCCGTGACCCTGCCCTGAGGCCCTGATCTCTCCTTGTATATGAGAAGGCTTTAGGAGTGTTTAAGGTTTGGCTCATCTTATCTTCTCCCCACTACCTTGTCGCTGTGTAACTTTTTAGGACCTGAGCTCAAAGCATGGGGAAAGTGAGAAGAAAATCCCAGAGTCCATTTACAGTATGTGTAGGAACAGCAAAGGCCTCACAAAGAGGGGAACTTCTCTGCAGGAAGTGCGTTTATTTCGCAATTTACAAAGGAAAAGGGAAACCTTTCTGGAGTGTGCTTTGCCCTCCAAGGCCACAGGATTTAAACCTCTCTGCCACACCATCATTGCTTTGAATGAATTATAGGGGCCAATTATCCAGTGAGCATGTGTTTCCTCTATTGGAACAGACTCCATGGTGCTTTCAGTACCTTTCTAGAAGGTCAGGGTGGGGGGATCTTGCCAAGGTCAGCCAGAAGCATCCTATATGACTGTATGAAGACCCAAAGTCTTCATAAAGAGAAGGGAGAGGGGTGGCAGGCAAGGACAAGAAAGGAAGTGAAGGAGAGAGGAATGGAACCACCTTTTTTTTTTTTTTGAGATTCCTCTGTTGCCCAGGCTGGAGTGTAGTGGCGCAATCTTGGTTCACTGCAACCTCCACCTCCCAGGTTCAAGCAATTCTCCTGCCTCAGCCTCCCGACCAGCTGGGATTACAGGCACCCGCCACCACACCCAGCTAATTTTTGTATTTTTGGTAGAGACAGAGTTTCGCCATGTTGGCCAGGCTGGTCTCAAACTCCTGAGCTCAAGTGACCACCTGCTTCAGCTTCCCAAAGTGCTGGGATTATAGGCGTGAGCCACCACACCCAGTCTGGAGCCACTTATTAACTCCATCTGGCCACAACCAACAGCTCACCCAAGACATTTGCAGAGTGGATTTGGGATCACAGAACACATCTCAGAAAGAGGCACATGAAAATCCAGCTCCGGTTCTGCCACAGTGGGGTGCAGGAGCCCAGTGGGATAATTCCACACTTTCATTTTGCTGGCTCTAGTTCCTAGCAGATCATTAAATGGACATCAAGAGCTGTCCCAGGTGTTGGGAATTATACGATAGAAGGGTTTCCCAGCTAGGAAGTGAAATAAATCATGGAATGAATGCCCACAGACAAAGGGAAGTGCCTATCAGCACTAGGCCAGTGAACAACCTGGGAGCCACAAGAGCGTAAACCAGAGAGGGTTGATGCTGCCAGTTTATATGCTTCTGCCTAACTGTTACTGTGAATTGGGAGCCAGGGAGCAACGTCTGTAGCATCTTGAACTGAAAAAGAATCGCCATGGTGTTCCCAAGTTTGTCTTCTTTATATTCTTTATTATCACCATCACCTTGACCTTCACCATCAACATTGCTATCATCATTATCGATCATTTTTATCATCATCCCTGGCCTATGCACAGTCTCTCACAGTTTACAGAGAACTTCTGCACCTGTTATGACAATTGGATCATCACACTTACTCTTTGACGTGGACACAGCAGGATTAGTATCTCCATTTTTCCAAAGTGTAAACCAAGGCTTAGAAAAGGTAAATGGCAGGCCCTAAGTCATACTCAAGTTCAGGTCTAATGTTAAGTACTGTCAATTTACAACACTAAAACTTTACCCTGAGAATATCAAAATACTTAACAACTGATAAGGTATGGGTACTGACCAGTCAGGATAAACACCAGCCATAAACAGTGGATGTGGCCATTCTGATTCATGTATTTGACTATCTCCCAGATGTTTGACCCAAAGCCACTACTCTCAACACTACAACTGTGTATCTTTGGGTCCTTCTCTGCCACTTCACATAAGCTCTTCTGTTCCCAAATAACACTGCAAGATGAGGCCCTAAGAGGTGAGATGGTGAATTATTATAATAAAGAGGGGGCTCTCAATCTTGTCTTCCTTGATGATCTTAAGACAAGGAAGAGGGGAAAATGGCTTAAGGTGGTTCTAGAGGACATGACAGCTAGGACATGGGATTGTGAGCTGAGAGAAGTCGCCACTCTTGAGAGCTGGAAGGTTGACTTTAGACCAAGTCTTTAGGGTGTCATGAGGGAATCACAGGGTGTTTGTTTGTGACAGAGTCTCTCTCTGTCGCCCAGGCTGGAGTGCAGTGATGTGATCCCTGCTCACTGCAACCTCCACCTCCCAAGTTCAAGCAATTCTCCTGCCTCAGCCTCCCGAGTAGCCGGGATTCCAGGCACCCACTACCACTACCACCCCCGGCTAATTTTTGTATTTTTAGTAGAGACGGGGTTTCACCATGTTGGCCAGGCTGGTCTCAAACTCCTGACCTCAAGTGATCCTCCCGCCTTGGCCTCCCAAAGTGCTGGGATTGCAGACATGAGCCTGTAATCAAAGGGTTTTAGATAGGAGAAAAAGCCAGGAATCAGGAGCCAGGTGGAAATAAGATTGGAGTGGGAGCCAATTGGGAATCAAATGAGAAACCTAGTTTCCCACCGGAAGAGTCTGCTACTTGCTTCTCTTGGTATCTGGCAAGTAGATATGTTGGCTTAGATACAAGGATGGGGGTAGATAACAGGTAGTCAGTGCTTTCATCAAAGCTAACAGAAAATGTGCACAATATGAACTCAGAAATTAATAGAAGTTCATCAGATTTTCACTTTCTCAGAAGCTATTCTATTTTCCATTAAAGAATGCTAATTTTTCTATTTTTCTTTAGTTTTATCAACTCTTCCTATGTACTCTTCTTTGAAAAAGATCTTTTTTGGTCAGGCCTGGTGACTCACACCTGTAATCCCAGCATTTGGGGAGGCCAAGGCAAGTAGATCACTTGAGCCCAAGAGTTCAGGACCAGCCTGGTCCACATTATGAAACCTGGTTTCTACCAAAAATACGAAAAAATTAGCCAGGAGTGGTGGCACATGCCTGTAGTCCCAGCTACTTAGGGGGCTGAGGTGGGAGGATTACCTGAGCTCAGGAGGTTGAGGCTGCAATAACCTGTGATCACATCACTGCACTCCAGCCTAGTGGACCAAAGTGAGACCCTGTCTGAAAAAAAAAAAAAAAGAAAACGATCTTCTTAAATTCAAAAGTAATATTCACTCATGAAGAAAAATTAATACAGATAAGCAAAAAAAGAAAAAGAAAATTAAAATCACCTACAATTTCTCTATTAAGAAATAACATGGCTTAATATGTTTATATACATCCTTCCTGACATTGTCCCATGGCATAAAACTATCATCATAATTATTATGATTTACAAAAATTTAGCTATTTTATGCCTAATGTTTTGTCTACCTACCATTCTTGAAGTTCAGGGTCATTATCTTTGTTTGACAACATAGACTTAATATGAGGAGTCTGAAAATATTTTATTGCTTTGGTATCTTGTTGATATCATAAAATCAGAGACAGAATAATATTTATTAGAAACATCCAAGCACAGGGCTCAGAAACAAATCGCTGGTGCCTGAGCAGCGTTCTGTGTTTTCAAAGTGGCCATGTAAAACACGAAGCCCAGTGGAACTATATATCACCACTACATAAACAATAATAACAATTTTTGATTTATATCTTCATATTTTCTGCCTTGTTCTTGCAGAAAAGTTGGTAAAAGCTGATTAGACTGTTACACCTACTTTTTTAGCAGATGGAAGATAGGAGAAAATATTACCACAATGAAAGCGGGGGAAAGCCCAAAGGAAAATGTGTTTTTTAAAAATCGAGGACTTGTCAGCATGATGCACAGCTCTGAAGATTAGAGCAAAGCAAAACAAATGTGTGAGTTATTTCTTGGATCAAAAGTTTCAATCATCTTTTGAGGTTACTTCTCAGGTATTGGGATATCTATAAATGCTAAACAAGATGGCAAACTAAAAAAAAAAAATTTAATCCAGAATGAGGGGCTTTCAGGTAAAATGGTCTTTAGCCATGTTTCTGGCTGTGGTCTTCATCAAAAGAATTTCTATCAGCAGGGGGAGTACAGTTTAACATTAAGATGAAGGGGTTTTTCTTTTTTATGATTATAATCCTGCTGAATTGATATGAGGCAGAAATGTGTGCAGAGATATTACACCAAACAAAGGGCCCTGTTTCTCTGTTTAAACAGAGGCACCCAGAGGAAATTATTCTGCAGGATTTTTGAGAATACATAGTATTCTTAGGTCGGTGCAAAAGTAATTGCAGTTTTTGCCATTGAAAGTAATGGCCAATAATATTACGTGATAATGGCCAGTAGTATTATGTGATTACTTCTAATAAAATTTCCTCACAAAAAGTGCTTGGTTAATTAAATTTTGTATGCTGTAGGGTTCTAACAATTTCAGAATCCATTGATTCAGAATTTATGACATTTTAAGCATAGCACACCTGAGTCTTATTGGGTTTTTAAAAGGGCTGCTGATCAACCCCCTAGTGTTTATTGACATTTACTTGTCCAGAACTCAAACAACCACTCTCTGGGTTAGAAGACAACTTCTGTTCTCAGAGAGCCTACATCTTCATTGACGAGAAAAGTCTTACTCATATGAAAACACAAGACCAAGAGAACACTATGTTGAGCTGCCATTGCAAAGGTTTCAGAAAAGAAAAATAAAATTGTTATGGGCTGGAGAACTGAATCCTGACACCGATTTTTACATGCTAAAAGCAATAAGAAGAGGAAAGAAAAGAAAACCAAAAAGAGCAAAAATGGATGTTCTACTCCATGGTTTCACATTTTATGAAAAACAGAAATGGAAGAAAATCCAGGCAAAAGGTGATGTCAAATGGGGGTAACAGAATCGGCAAAAAGTGGAAAGGATGCTGGGAACAGAAGAAACATTTACGACGCTCTTTAAAAAAATATTTACGGAGCACCTATTATGTGCCAGACACTATAGTAGGTGTTACAGATTAAGGTCAATAAGATAGACATGGCCTGGTCCTCATGGGGCTTAAGTGAGTGGAAGGGGCAATAACCAAGTAAACAAATAAATAGGCCTAAAACTATAAAATATTTAGAAGAAAACGTAGAAATAAATCTTTGTGGCGTTGGTTCAGGTGATGGTTTCTTAGATACAACACCAAAGCACAGGCAACAAAAGAAGAAAAAGATATATTGGAGTTCTCAAAAAATTAAAAATGTTTGTGCTTCAGAGCACACTACAAAGAAAGTAAAAACCCATAAGAATGGGAGATAATATTTGCAAATCATATGTCTGATAAGGGACTTGTATCCAGAATATATGAAGAACTCCTACACTCAATAATAAAAAGGCAACCCAACTTTTTAAATGGGCAAAGGACATGAAGAGACATTTCTCCGAAGAAAATATAAAAATGACCAATAAGCACATGAAAAGATGCTCAACATCACTAATCATTAAAGAAATGCAAATCAAAACCACAATGATACCCCTTCATATCCACTAGGATGACAAGTGTTGGCAAGGATGTGGAGAAATTGGTGGGTTGCTGGCAGGTTGTAAAATGATGCAGCCACTTTAGAGAACAATTTGACAGCCCATAAAAAATGTTAAACATGGAGTTATTACATGATCCAGCAATTCCACTTCTAAGTATGCACCTGAAACAACTGAAAACCTAAGTCCATATAAAATATTGTATACAAATGTTCATAGCAGCATCATTCATAAGAGCCAAAAAGCAGAAAAAACTCAAAGATCCATCAGCTGATAAATGATAAACAAAATGCATTACATGCATGCAATGTAATATCATTTGGCTGTGAAAATGAATAGAATCCTGATACATGCTACAACATAGATGAACCTTAAAAATATTATGCTAATTGAAAGAAGCCAGTTTTGTATGATTGCATTTACATGAAATATCCAGAATAGGCAAATCCATAGAGAAAGAAAATAGATTAGTTGTTGCCAGAACTAAGAGAAAATAGATTAGCTGTTGCTCTCCTTCTGGGGAGAAGGAGGAATAAGGAGTGACTACTAATGAGTATGGGGTTCCTTTTTGGGGCGATTAAAATGTTATAAAAATTAGCAGTAATGGTTGCACAACTCTGTGAATATACTCAAGAATGCTTTAAATGGGTGCATTTTATAGTATGTGAATTATATCTCAATAAAGTTGTTACAAAAAACAACCAACCAGGCAGGGCGCGATGGCTCACATCTATAATTCCAGCACTTTGGAGGCCAAGACAGGTGGATCACCTGAGGTCAGGGGTTCGAGACCAGCTTGGCCAACATGGTAAAACCCTGTCTTACTAAAAATACAAAATTATTCAGGCGTGGTGGTGCATGCCTGTAATCCCAGCTACTCTGGAGGCTGAGGCAAGAGAATTGCCTGAACCTGGGAGGCAGAGGTTGCAGTGAGCCAAGATCGTGCCATTGCACTCCAGCCTGAGCGATGAGTAAAATTCCATCTCAAAAAAAAAGCAAACAAACAACAAACAAACAAAAACAATGAACTGAAACAACAAAATAGATCACCTTACTGCCCTATGGAGGAAAGGGAAAAAGGCTCATAGAAGGAGGAAAGTGGAAGCAGAGTGGCACAGAAGAAGCTGGTGCATTAAGGATTTTCTGGGGTGGAAAATTTAAAAAATAAAAAAGATAAATAATTAAATGTAAAAAAAAAAAGAAGCTACTGCAGCCATCAAAGCAACAAGTGACAGTGATTCACGTGGGGGTAGCGGTAAAGGAAGGGGGAATCATGGGGTTTCAGCTTGGGTACATGGGTGCAGGGTGGTGCAGTGTCCCATCCTCCATCAGCAAGAAATTCAGGTCTGGGTCCAAATGGAAAAACCCACACTGAATCATAATCCTAATGCTATGAGGTAGGTATGACTATCCCCATTTATAATTTTCTAAAACAGCTTTATTGAGGCCAGGCACGGTGGCTCATGCCTGTGATCCCAGCACTTCAGGAAGTCAAGGCGGGTGGATCACCTGAGGTCAGGAGTTTGAGACCAGCCTGTCCAACATGGCAAATCCCCGTCTCCCCATTGCTACTAAAAATACAAAAATTACCCGGGCATGGTGGCGGGCACCTGCAATCCCAGCAACTTGGGAGGCTGGGGTAGGAGAATGAATTGAACCCAGGAGGCAGAGGTTTCAGTGAGCCAAGATCGGCCACTGCATTCCATCCTGGGTAACAGAGACTCCATCTCAATCAATCAATCAATCAATCAATCAATCAATAAAACAGTTTTATTGAGATGTAATTGACATGCAATAACTGCACATATTTAAGGTGTACAATTCAAATAAAAAAATAAAGTGTACAACTTGATAAGTTTTTTAATTTTATTTTTTTAGAAATGGAGTCTCGCTATGTTGTCCAGGCTGGAGTACAATGACTACTCATAGGCACAAATATAGAGCACTACGGCCTTTAACTTCTGGGCTCAAGCAATTCTCCCACCTCAGCCTCTCGATTAGCTAGGACTACAGGTGCACACAACCACACCCAGCTTCCCTATTTACAATTGAATAAATGTGGTTCAAATAAGTGAAAATACACACCATAATAAACCTTACTGCTGTGGTTAATGACAGCCTAACTCATACCCAAGCTCTTTACTGTATACTATATAAGGAGACATTTTAAAGAGAAAAAAAAAAAGGAGGAAGAGAGAAAGAAATTGTAGGTACAATACTTCTAGTCAAGAAGGGGGGGTCAGGCATTCACATGTAACATTTTTGTCCCTTTGGTTTTGGCCTAGTATCTTGCACATACTGTCGTTAAGAGCCAGAGAACTCCCAAAATATTATCCTCAGCTTCCAGCCAATAGCCAGAGGTTGTTAATTCTTCCCAAATGTGTTTACAACTCTCTCCATTCACGATGCTGTGGCTTTCTTATTTCAGTGTCCCCTCATCTCTTGCAGGAGGTATTGCAACACCCTCCTAACTCTTCTCCCTGCATCCAGCCCTACCTACCACACCATCCCTTCCCCAGCACATTTGCGGTGGAGTGTGCACACACGCGCATGCACACGCACCCACACACACATACACACACCCATCCTTCTTGATCCCTTCTCCAGATGGGGTGCTCTTTCTAAAATGCAAACCTGTTCCATTCACCACCTTCCTTAAAACCCTTCAGAGATACCTACTGTGGCTCAGGATCAAGCTTAAAGTCCTTAACACAACCTCCACGGCCACTCACGAGCTTGAGCCTGCACACCTCTCCAGCATTTTCTTCATTCTCCCTCTCCATGCACACACCCTATGCCCTATGTGCCAGCCACACTAAACTACTTCCATTCCCCTGAATGTGCCATGCTCCACCGACCTCAGGTCTTTGCACATGCTGTTCCATTCCTGCCAACTGCTTGCATAGCTAACTCCTACATATCCTTTAGTCTTCCCTGACCCTCCAATTCAGGACCAGGTACCCTTCCCTGACCCTCCAATTCAGGACCAGGTACCAACCTCAGGGCACTCTGTACAGCCCCCATGAGCAGAGAGGGGTTAAGGGGTGACCAGCTGATCAACCACCTGGGGCAGAAATCTACAAGGGGGAATAAAAATCACAGGAGATGTAATAAGATTAGAAAAATTTTATCTCCTAGAATCCTGTCAGGATAGTACACTATGTGGTTAGAAATAATATGCTGATAAGTCCCTCAGGGTTGGGGGTAATGTGCCCCAAGGGGCATGCCTTCCAAGGGTGTCACCTCTGTTTTACTGTGGAGTGGTTGTTTGGTCCAGTGGGGAATGCGAATTTGGGGCCAGAGTGGAATTGCTCAGAACTTTGGGTGTCAGGCCTCCTTTCTTCGCCCTTCCCTCCTGACAGGGTCCCAACATATAATATATATGTCTAGTGTATATGCTAGAAAGCTCTAGAGGAAGGGAAAGTACCACCAAAAAACTCTGGTGGGTGAGCAGCAGTCCTGCCTCCGCAAGTGCTCAGCCTCTTCCGTTTTAAAAACTGAATAAATGGCCAAGTGTGGTGGCTCATGCCTGTAATCTCAACACTTTGGAAGGCCAAGGTGGAAGGACTGCTTGAGCCCAGGAGTTCAAGATCAGCCTGGGCAACATAGCGAGACCCCATCTCTACAAAAATTGTAAAAACTAGCCAGGTGTGGTGGCGCATGCCTGTGGTCCCAGTTACTTGGGAGGCTGAAGTGGGAGGATCGCTTGAGTCTAGGAGGTTGAGTCTGCCGTAAGCCATGATGGCACCACTGCACTCCAGCCTAGATGACAGAGCGAGACTCTGTTACAAAAAAACCCAAAACTGAATAAAGATTTACAGCACATTGATTCGATAAAATTTCTATTTATTAACCTGTCCAGGTGCTCACATATTTCAGTCTGGATGCACCCATCAAAGCATCCATCACATAATAGTAACTTACCTGTGGCCCTGCTGGAAAGTCTGTACCATGATAATCATTAACATTTGAGTGGTTAATGCCAAGTGTTAATTCACTTAGTTATCAAAATAATTCCTTCGGGTGAATGCTATTTTCACTCCCGTTTTATAGTTGAGGAAACTGAGGCATAACAAAGTAAAGTAATTGGCAGGGCTGGATTTCAAACCCAGACAGTCTAGCTCTACCTGGTGCTCCAACCAGAATGATACACTCCCCCTTAGGATGGGACTGAGTCCTTTTACCTGAAACAGCCTCTGCAGCCAAGCACAGACCTAACACACAGAAAAATTTAATAAATGTTAGTTGAATGAATCTTCAATTAGTAGAAGACTGTTTATTCATTTCTTCAGTAAATATTTATCAAGTGCCTTCTATGTGGCCAGCACTATTCTGGGCACTGGCACAAAGTGGTGACAAGACCGCTGCAAGCCTGAGTGGCCTCTTGTTCAGCCTGACACACGATGCAGAAACTCCTTCTCCCACATTCCCACCTGATGGCCATCCCACCTCTGGTTCAGGAGATGGAAAGGCGATTGCTGTTAGATTCTTGTTTGTTTAAGAGACTGGCCTTCCTTGGCCTTCCACTTGAAGAAGCACAAACTTGCACTACAACCTCATGCCTATAACAGCCTTTTACATCTTGCAAGATAGTTCTAGCTCCTTCAGGTCTTCTTTATTCTAGGCTAGACTAAGCTTCCTCAGTTCCTTCATCAGTTCATGCTCTGATTACATTTCTGCAGGAGACAGCTTTCATTTACTTACTCATCCATTCATTTAAACTTTGCTTGCTGGGTGTGGTGGCTCAGTCTGTAGTCCCAGCACTTTGGGAGGCCAAGGCAGGCAGATCGCTTGAGCTCAGCAGTTTGAGACCAACCTGGGCGACATGGCAAAACCCTGTCTCTACTAAAAATAAAAAAATTAGCCAGGTGTGGTGGTGTGTGCCTGTAGTACCAGCTACTCAGGAGGCTGAGGCAGGAGGATCTCTTAAGCCTGGCAGACAGAGGTTGCAGTGAGCCAAGATCGTGCCACTGCACTCCAGCCTGGACCACAGAGCCAGACCCTATCTCAAAAAAAGCTTTACTAATGACTTACTATTAATATGTACCAGGTACTTTGCTAGGCCCTATGAATACAGAAATGAAGGGCATGGTTTCTTCCCTCAAGAAACGCATGGTCCACTGGGAGAATGAGGCATTTAGGGAAATAATTTCAACATTTCCTAGGTGACAAGTATAATAGAGATACAGTTATACTGAGTAGAACCACTCAGTGCTACAACTAGACTTTAAGCCGGCCACTCTGGGATCATTCAGTGTGGCCATGTTTATCTTGCATAGTGACCACGAGAATGAAAAGAAGAGCTAGGAAATAAATATCTCCACTGTCCTGATCTGAGTGTTGTCATTTAAAGGATGCAGTCCAGAACTGTAACTGATTTATTTAGCAGGTGGCTAACTTAAAAAAAAAAACCCTAGTATTAATTTCATGAAATGTTATCAGGCCCATCCTACACTAATGAAATGAGAGATAGATGAGAGATAGGCAGATAGATAGATAGATAGATAGATAGATAGATAGATAGAGAGATAGATAGATAGATGGATAAACATTTTGCATGTTTCATCCCTGGTAAATATCCTCTTATTTCAGTCTAGCAAAGCTCTCATATACAATACCAGGCCTTAGGAATCAAGGTCCAATTTCCAGCTCCATTATTTCAACCTCCAAGACCTACCTCATAGGTCTGTTGAGGGCATTAAAAGAAACAATGAATGAAATGATCTGGCACGTTGTAAGCCCCATAGTTGGTGCTCAATAAATGCTAGTAATATTTACTTGTGGCTTACTGGTTCCTCAAGATTCCTTAAAATCTGAATCTGGACACCCAATGTATGAGGCTGCGCTTCAGCTTCATGTCAGCTGCAAACCTGACAGGGTGTCTTCTAATTTTCAATAATCACTCCACTCCCAACTCCATTCCTCATCCGCATCTGCTTCCCTTCCATTTCCATCTTTGCTCGGCCCAAGTATCAGGCGCTATCTCAGAAGGTTGACAAACCAGCATTGCCACCTGGAGGACAGCATGAGAATCTGGGTGAGAGAACAATTTTATGGCACCAGATAAACCAACTCAGCTGTTCTGTGCCGGCACTAACGAGGCCAAGTTCAGAGGTTCATCCCCCAAAGGGGCCAATTAGCTTTACACTGAGAGGCACTCCGGAGTGCAGCCCCAGCCTCTAACCTTGGCCCCCAAGTTACACGTGTGTGGCTGTTGGTTAGAAGTGA
This sequence comes from Homo sapiens, assembly GCF_000001405.40. Lineage (NCBI taxonomy): Eukaryota > Metazoa > Chordata > Mammalia > Primates > Hominidae > Homo > Homo sapiens. The sequence continues at coordinate 33,971,427 of NC_000011.10, forward strand.
ATTCATCAATCCAATCCCATTTTTCATAATTTCTTTAAAACCCAGTTGTAAGGCAGCGTGGAAACAACAAAAATGCACAAGACCTTCTCCTTCCTCTTAAAGAAGCTTCAGCCTGCAACAGTGTTTCCCCAAATGAATCCTGAGACATTAATAGGAGTTATGAGAATAAGTGGCTCCAGTGTTAAATCAGTTTGGAAAACACTGATCTAATCAAAGTCGAGGAGCTTGTTTACGAAAGGGCTTTGCAGAGCTTGCTACATGCTAATATGCACGTGCTAATTTTCCAAGAAGGAAATGCAGTGTGCAGAGCTTCACAGATTTGGACAGCCATGGGCATCCGCACCTTTAAAAAAAAAAAAGAGGCCGGGCGCGGTGGCTCACACTTGTAATCCCAGCACTTTGGAAGGCCGAGGCGGGCGGATCATGAGGTCAGGAGATCAAGACCATCCTGGCTGACACGGTGAAACCCTGTCTCTACTAAAAAAAATACAAAAACTCAGCCGGGCGTGGTAGCGGGCGCCTGTAGTCCCAGCTACTCGGGAGGCTGAGGCAGGAGAATGGCGTGAACCTGGGAGGCGGAGTTTGCAGTGAGCCGAGATCGCGCCACTGCACTCCAGCCTGGGCGAGAGAGCGAGACTCCGTCTCAAAAAAAAAAAAAAAGAAAAGAAAAGAAAAAGAAAAGAAAAGAAAAAAGAAAAGAATAGTAACGAATCTACTGGCCCAGGATATGGCTACTTTCAATGGAACATCTATTTTAAGAAGCAATTCATCCATGGCAAAGGTTCACAGTCTATTGCTAAGTTTAAAAAACCAGGAAGGGGGAAGCATACTGTAGAACAATATCGCGTTTTGAAAAGATAGAAAAAGATGTACATATACTTGGGAGAATAAAAAACAAAAAGACACAAACCAAAATGTTAGCAGCTGTGATCTTTTTGTTGGGAGTGGTAGTTGTTTTTCTGTGCTCTGCTTTTTAAGTTTTCTGCCGTAAACATACAGCACGTGTTAATTTTAAAATGAAACCACCGGCCAGGCGTGGTGGCTCATGTCTGTAATCCCAGCACTTTAGGAGGCCGAGGTGGGCAGATCACCTGAGGTCAGGAGTTCGAGACCAGCCTAGCCAAAATGGCGAAACCCCGTCTCTACTACAAATACAAAAATTAGCCAGGTGTGGTGGCATACACCTATAATCCCAGGTACTCGGGAGGCTGAGGCAGGAGAATGGCGTGAACCTGGGAGGCGGAGTTTGCAGTGAGCCGAGATCGCACCACCGCACTCCAGCCTGGGCGACAGAGCGAGATTCCGTCTCAACTAAAAAAAAAAAAAAAAAAAAAAAAAAAAAGAGGAAGAAGAAAAGAATAGTAACGAATCTACCGGCCCAGGATATGGCTACTTTCAATGGAACATCTATTTTAAGAAGCAATTCATCCATGGGAAAGATTCACAGTCTATTGCTAAGTTTAAAAAACCAGGAAGGGGGAAGCATACTGTAGAACAGTATCACATTTTGAAAAGATAGAAAAAGATGTACATATACTTGGGAGAATAAAAAACAAAAAGACACAAACCAAAATGTTAGCAGCTGCGATCTTTTTGTTGGAGTGGTGGTTGTTTTTCTCTGCTCTGCTTTTTAAGTTTTCTGCCGTAAAGGTACAGCACGTGTTAATTTTAAAATAAAACTACCGGCCAGGCATGGTGGCTCATGCCTGTAATCCCAGCACTTTAGGAGGCCAAGGTGGGCAGATCACCTGAGGTCAGGAGTTTGAGACCAGCCTGGCCAACATGGCGAAACCCCGTCTCTACTAAAAATACAAAAATTAGCCAGGCATCGTGGCATGCACCTATAATCCCAGCTACTCGGGAGGCTGAGGCAGGAGAATCGCTTGAACCCTGGAGGTGGAGGTTGCAGTGAGCCAAGATCATGCCACTGCACTCCAGCCTGGGTGACACAGCAAGACTCCATCTCAAAAACATTTAAAAATGTAAAAAATTAAAAAATAAAACCACAAAGCCCTTGTTTTAGGACAGTGTACCATCTTCATATGACTATTATTGTGGAATGCAAATGTTTCTTACTTACAATGGGGTTACATCTTGATAAACTAAGTTGAAAATATCCTAAGTCAAAAATGCATTTAAAACTGGGCGCAGTGGCTCAGGCTTGTAATCCCAGCACTTTGGAAGGCCAAGGCGGGCAGATCACAAGGTCAGGCGATCAAGACCATCCTGGCTAACAAGGTGAAACCCCGTCTCTACTAAAAATACAAAAAAAATTAGCCGGGGGCCTGTAGTCCCAGCTACTCAGGAGGCTGAGGCAGGAGAATGGCGTGAACCCAGGAGGCGGAGCTTGCAGTGAATGGCGATGGCGCCACTGCACTCCAGCCTGGGCGATGGAGCGAGACTCCATCTCAAAATAAATAAATAAATAAATAATAAATTTTAAAAATGCATTTAGTACACCTAAGCTACTGAACATCATAGCTTAGCCTAGTCTACTCAGACATGCTCAGAACACTTACATCAGCCTACAGTTAAGCAATATCATCTAACACGAAGCCAATTTTATAATAAAGTGTTGAATATCTCATTTCCATTTTAACATTACCAAAAGTGAAAAACAGAATGGTTGCATGGGTACTTGAAGTATGGTTGCTGCTGAACGTGTATCGCTTTCACACCACTGCAAAGTTGAAAAATTCTAAATGGAACCATCATAAGTCAGGGACCATCTACACTCCTAAGAGCTAATATTTAGTGAAGAATAACTAAATTCCTGGATTATGAATTGCCTAGACTATTTCATCTAAACTTCATGTAAATCTTATAAGACAAGGTACCATTTTCTTGCCCCAATTTAAAGATGAAGGGCCAGGCGTGGTGGCTCACGCCTGTAATCCTAGCACTTTCAGAGGCTAGGATCACCTGAGGTGAGGAGTTCAAGATCAGACTGGCCAAGATGGCAAAACCCCACCTCTACCAAAAATACAAAAATTAGCTATGCATGGTGGTGCGTACCTGTAATCCCAGCTACTCGGGAGGCTGAGGCAGGAGAATTGTTTGAACCTGGGAGCCGCAGGTTGCAGTGAGCTGAAATTGCACCACTGCTCTCCAGCCTGGGCAACAGATCGAGACTCCATCTAAATAAATAAGTAAACAACTTGAAGAAACAGAGAAATAAACCTGATGGAGCCAGAATTTGGACCCATTACATCCCTGTTTGCCATCTACCTCCTTTTCCCAACACACACACACACACACAGATGACACAGTTTCTCCATGGAGAGATACTACACGTGGCCAACGAGATAGCTTTGCTATCTCATTGGCTACTGGTTGCCATTTATTAAGGGCTCACTGGTGCCAAGAATTATTCCAAGAGATTTGACATATATAAGCATGTAAACCAATAATAACTGGTCTCTCCTAGACCTTTAAGTTCTTTCTGCCTTCTGCAATATTGTGCAGGCTATCCCTGTCTTCTCCCTTACTTACTGACCTTTAGAAACCGCCAAAACTAGATACTCCTTTTATTTTGCTGGGTGGAGCAATTCAGCTCTTTCCAGCTTCTATGCATATATTCTACTGCTGCCCCACCTCAGTACATCCAAACGCCATGGCCGTGCTCTGTTAAATAGCAGACCTACCTGATCTCATGCTAGTGCATGCACACGTCCTCTCTCTTTCTCTGTCTCTCTCCCTCTCTCCCTCCCTGTGTGCTTCTGTGTCATGTGTACTCTCTATCACTTCTGGGGAAAGGCACAAAGGAAAAATGAATTTCCTTGCTGATATAAAGTGTGTCTACCTCCCTTAAAAGGCAGAAGTAGCTGTAGTCAGTTTGGTTTAATATACTATTTTTATTTTCCATTACACATACATTATCCAAGTAGGTTATTTTATTAATTCGATTTTATAGATGAGGAAACTGAGGTCAGATAACTTGCCTGAAGCACCAAGGCAGATGCCTGACTGGACCGTTGTTTAAATCAGGCCCTTCTGACTTCACATCTTGGTGTCACTAAGATGTAAAGAAGAATGAGGACACTCTGAGCTTCAGGACATGAGAAAGTCCCCTGAAGAAGTGGTTCTTAAAGTATGAAAAGGCTGACTCAATTTCTTCAATGTTAGCAAGGACAAACTGGTTAGAAGAGACCCCAACTGAAGCAAGCACACAATTCTTCACCCTTCAGGTCAGAAATCTGGTCCCACAAACCAGTTTAAAATGATGAAGCTGACTGCTTACCTCGCTGATAGCAGTGGCCTTCTAAGAGAAAATTCCTCCTTTTTCTCGCCCCTACCCGACGCCGGATTCCTCTTTAGGAGCCAGGCCATCATCAACATTTGAAAACTACTTCATTGTGCTTAGTCTTAAACAAAAACAAAAACAAAAAAAAACCTTTTTTTTTTTTTTTTTTTTTTGTATTTTTGATAGAGACGGGGTTTCACCATGTTGCCCAGGCTGGTCTCAAACTCCTGAGCTCAAGTGATCCTCAGGCTTTGGCCTCCCAAAGTGCTGGAATTACAGGGGTGGGCCACCACATCCAGCATTGTTGTGCTTAGTTTTTAAAAAAAAAGCCAGGCTCAGTGGCTCACATCTGTAATCCCAGCACTTTGGGAGCCGAGGCAGGAGGATCACCTGAGGTCGGGAGTTCGAGACCAGCCTGGCCAACATGGAGAAACCCTGTCTCTACTAAAAATACAAAAAATTAGCCAAGTGAGGTGGCTTATGCCTGTAATCCCAGCTACTCAGGAGGCTGAGGCAGGAGAATCGTTTGAACCCGGGAGGCAGAGGTTACGGTGAGCCGAGATGGTGCCATTGTACTCCAGCCTGGGCAACAAGAGCAAAATTCTGTCTCGAAAAAAAAGAAAAAGCGCTGACAGATCTTTTTCTTTGCCTCCTTAGGTCTAAGGAAAGGTTGTGACTTGGCCCTTTCCTTGACTGTGTGGCACCTTTTAACCAGACTCTTGCAAAGTTGAATAAACAAGTTTTTTGCCCTTCCACTGCCTTCTAGGTGAGTTTGCAGCTAAATTTTCCCACCAGCCTGGTCTCAAAGGTTGAGCAGGGCTCAGGGCAGAAGGCATAACAAAGCAATCTTAGACAATATGGATTCTTCATTACTTCTGCAAAATGCCACTAGCACCTTTGACCAACTGTTAATATTGCATGACGCTGACATCTTGTGATGTAGCTGGAGTTTGAGAAATGGAGCTGAGGGTTGATTCGGGTCCAAAAAATAAATCTTTTCTATTGCCATGGAGCAGTTACAGTTGCACAACTGAAATACCAGCCCTTTGGAAAAGCTATCAAACCCACTCATGCAGTTGGGTAATATAATCATCTGAAGCATTTCTTAGATGCCTGGTGTTGGAAGCACAGGACAGAGTAAGTTAAGCGGATACAATCTATTATGTGAGACATTTCCAAGACAGGATGTAAGTTTCTGGTGCAAGCAGTGAGACTGGTTGAGACAGAGGCCAGCATGGTATCTTATAATAATAACCAGCATTTATTGGGCCTCTTCCCTTTGTCAGCTCTGAGCCATATGTCTCACATAATCCTCAGAGCAACCCTTGAGGGAGGGGCCATTACTACCCCCGTTTTACAGATTAAGAAACACAGACTGCTAGATGTTGAGTAACCGGCTCAAGACAATAGAGCTAGTAAATGGTGGAGCATAACTCAAGTCCCAAGCCCTCTTCCACCACAGTCCGCACGCTTGATCACTGCACCCTACCTGTATGATCCATGCAGAGTAGCTCTAGCATGAATTTTAGAGTTGGATAGCCCTAGATTCAAATTCTTGTTGCATCACTCAATTGGATCAGGTATACAACCTCTGTAAACTTTAGTCACCCCATCTGCAAAAATTAGTGGTGACACTAATACCCAGCTTGCAGGGAAGTAAAGAAAGAAATATTTGTGTAACCGTATTGCATCCAAAGGCCCACACGGATGGGTCCCAGAATCCAAATCCTTTTTTCAATGCACAGCAGGAGGAAAAAGACTCCAATGTCAATAATTGTTGTTTTGTTTCATTTCTAAAACCCCTAGCCCATGGGCTGGGCCCGGTGACTCACCTCTGTAATCCTAGCACTTTGGGAGGCTGAGGTAGGAGGATCTTGAGGCCAGGAGTTTAAGACCAGCCTGGGCAATACAGCAAGACCCTGTCTCTACTTTTTTTTTAATTAAAAAAAGATTTATATATATATTTTTTGAGATGAAGTCTCAGTCTGTTGCCCAGACTGGAGTGCAGTGGCGCAATATTGGCTCACTGCAACCTCCACGTCCCGGGTTCAGGCAACTCTTCTGCCTCAGCCTCCCGAGTAGCTGGAATTACAGGTGCCTGCCACCATGCCCAGCTAATTTTTGTATTTTTGGTAGAGAGGGGGTTTCACCATGCTGGCCAAGCTGATCTCAAACTTCTGACCTCAGGCAATCTGCCACCTTTGGCCTCCTAGAGTGCTGGGATTACAGGCATGAGTCACCACACCTGGACAAAAATAATTTTTTAAAAAAGAACAAACAAACAAAACCCTCTAGCCCATGGTAGGCATTCAGTAAGTTGTAGCTATCATAACTATTTTTTTTACAAGGTATATCTTTACATAACTAGCCCAATTAATCTAATTGAAATGCTATTTCAATCATCCTACTTTTCCCCCACCCCTACTCTTTTCAAAACCTCTAAGCTGTTTCTACTAATTTGCACTAAAACAGAACAGGATGAGTAGCAGAAGCCCCATTGTAGCAGCACCAAGCTCTGTTCCCTCGACATTTTAGATTGGGCCGGGGATGGTGGCTCACGCCTGTAATCCCAGCACTTCAGGAGGCTGAGGTGGGATGATTGCTTGAGCCCAGGAGTTCAAGATCAATCTGGGCAGCATAGTAAGACCCTGTCTCTAAAAAATAAAAAATAAAACAAAATTTTAGACTAATCTGTACTAATTTGGAAATCTGAATAAAGGAACCCCCTCAAAGCTCTCCAGGCAAGGAAACTTTATTTATAAAACCTCTAGCCCACGGGCTAGGTGCGGTGGCTCTCACCTGCAAGAAAGCCTGGTCCAAAGAGGTGAGACCCACCCACCAGCCTGGTTTAAGTACAAGAACAACCTCAGGGTTGGAGAGGAGAGATAGGTATTTGACACATAGATTTTCTGCGGGCCCGGCACTTGGGAATTTGTGTCTGGTTTGAGACAGCAATCTGTACTTCTTCCTTGATCCAAGACTTCGCCTGCATGCATAAATATCACCAGTAGTTTCCCTCTGTTATGAGAGCTGAAGGTGGTCTAGCTAGGGACCCACAAGACCAACGCCATCAGGAGAGAAGCACCTGGATCTGCAGCACACACTCTGCCTTCCCTCCTGTTAGGATGGGGAAAAAAGCAACCAGGTCCTGTGCCCAGGACCCCATCTGTCATCACTTTCTCAAGGATTTTATTTCTATAGGTTATCTTTTTATCTTCTGCAGCGTTCAAGTCCTCCTTCTCCTCTGTATCATTGCTATCTGTATACAAATATCTCTTAAAAGTTATCTGGCACCAGGCACAATGGCTCACATCTGTAATCCCAGCACTTTGGGAAACCAAGGTGGGAGGATCACTTGAGCTCTGGAATTCGAGACCAGCCTGGGCAACATGACAAAACCCCATCTCTACCAAAAATACAAAATATTAGCCGGGCATGGTGGCAGGCACCTGTGGTCCCAGCTTCTTGGGAGGCTGAGGTGGGAGGATGATTTGAGCCTGGGAGGCAGAGGTTGCAGTGAGCTGTGATCACCCAACTGCACTCCAGCCTGAGTGACAGAGATCTTGTCTTAAAAAAAAAAAAAAAAGGAAAGAAAAAAATTATCTGGACCATCTATCTGTTCCCTACATTGCTCCTTTGCACAAAAAAGCTCTGGAAGAGTTGCTTATATCTCACCTCCCATCCTTTTCCTTTTCTCAGCCTACTCAGATGAAGCTTTTGTGCCCCAGCTACCCCCCATTCCATTAAAACAGCTCTAATCAAGGTGCCAATGGCCACGCCTCTGTCTTCATCTTACTTGCCTTACTAGCAGGCCCTCGCTTGATCTTCTCCTTCCTCCTGAAATGTATTCCTCCTGAGGGCTCCACGAACTCCTGCTCACTTGGTCTTTTCCTACCTTACTTTATACCTCCTTCATCTGCTGGCTGTCTTCTCATTCACCACCAGACCTTTGAATGTTGGAGTGCTCCAGACTCCATCCTCAAAACTCTTCTCTTTCTTTTTTTTTAATGTATTTATTTTTGTTTTTTGAGATGGAGTCTCACTCTGTTGCCCAGGCTTTGCAGTAGCGCAATCTCAGCTCACTGCAACCTCTGCCTCCCAGGTTCAAGTGATTCTCCTGCCTCAGCCTCCCAAGTACCTGAGACTACAGGCATGTGCTGCCATGCCCAGCTAATTTTTTTATTTTTCTTTTACTTTAAGTTCTGGGACACATGTGCAGAACATGCAGGTTTGTTACACAGGTATACATGTGCAGAACATGCAGGTTTGTTACACAGGTATACATATGCCATGGTGGTTTGCTGCACCTATCAACCCGTCATCTTGGTTTCAAGCCCTGCAGCATTAGGTATTTCTCCTAATGCTCTCCCTCCCCTTATCCCCCATCCCCTGACAGGCCCCAGTGTGTGATGTTTCCCTCTCTGCGTCCATGTGTTCTCATTGTTCAACTCCCACTTATGAGTGAGAACATGTGGTGTTTGGTTTTCTGTTCCTGTGTAGTTTGCTGAGAATGATGGCTTCCAGCTTCATCTATGTCCCTGAAAAGGACATGAACTCATCCGTTTTTATGGCTGCAAAAAAAAAATACAAAAGTATTTTTGTATTTTTAATAGAGATAGGGTTTCACCATGTTGGCCAGGCTGGTCTCAAACTCCTGAGCTCAAGGGATCCGTCTGCCTCAGCCTCCCAAAGTGCTGGGATTACAGGCATGAGCCACCTCGAAGCTCTGCTCTATGGGCACTACTCCCAAGTTAATTTCACCTAACCACAACACCTGCTTTAAATACCTTTCACTGATGCCTTGTGAATACCGGTGGCTCTCAAACATTCCTCTGTAGTCCAGATCTCATCCCTGAACCCAGATGCAGATACTACTACTACTGTCCACTTCACATCTCCACTTAGAAGGATGCCTAGCAGGTGCCTCAAACTCAACAGTGCCAAAATAAAGCTATGGTCTTTCCCCCAATCCACTCCCCTTCAATCCTGTGCCACCCGAGTAGATGGCACCACTGCCTACACATTTGCCCAGGCCCCAAACCCAAGAGTCCCCTTGCTTTTCCTTTCCCTTGTGTTCCAATTCCAATGCATCAGTAAACCCTATCAGATCACTCTCCATAAGAGATCTTGAATCCAACTTCCTTCTGTGACAACTGCTCCCATCATATCCCAAACAACCACCATTTCTTGCCTTAACTGTTTCAACTACCTCCTAACTAGTCTCATGGCCATAACTCTTGTCTTAATTATAATACATCCTCCACACAGCAGCCAGAGTGATCTTTCTAAGGTGTAATTGGGATCATGCCAAGCCCGCTTCCCTATTTAAAACCTCCGATAGCTTCTCATTATGTTGATAAACCCAGCCTCTTTGTCACGGCTTACAAAATCCTTTGTGTTATGGTCCTGCCTACCTTTCCAGTCATTTCCTTCTTCCTCTTTGTTCACTACACTCCAGCTACAACAGCTGCCTTCTGTCATTCCTGTCTAAGGGCCTCTATTCTTGCTGTTCTTCCTGCCTAGAATACCACCTTAATTCAAACAGCCTCCCTATGAACTCTCCACTTGTTATCCTATGCTATCTTTCTTTACAGGACTCAGCAGCATGTGAAATTAACTTATTTATTCACCTAGTCTCATTGGCATATAAACTCCTGGGATCGGGAATCATAGCTGGTGAGCAGAGGCACACACTGTGGCTTGCACGCCCCTCCCTGGTTTCAACCCCTGCTCTACACTTCGGATTTCAGCACAGCTTCTGCCTACCATGACTTGGTGACCCATGTGGATTTCATTGTCTGGTTTTTGACGCCCGCTCCCCATTTGACTCTTGGCTCAACAGGTTCCCTGTATTTCAGCAGTGCTCAAAGCCTTGCTTGACAGACACTTCCTCTGCCATCCTGGGCCCCAGACCTATTTCTCTGTGAAGAGAGTTCTGTCTGAGGTCAGCTAGCCCATAGGGTGCAACAGTCTAAACTGGCCCTATAAACTGTAAGAAGTCTTCACCTGAGGCCAGGCACAGTGGCTCACACCTGTAATCCCAGCACTTTGGGAGGCCCAGGTGGGAGGATCACTTAAGGTCACGAGTTTGAGACCAGCCTGGCCAACATGGCCAAACCCCGTCTCTAATACAAATAAAAAAAAATTTGGCAGGGCGTGGTGGCTCACGCCTGTAATCCCAGCACTTCGGGAGGCTGAGGTAGGCGGATCACAAGGTCAAGAGATCAAGACCATCCTGGGTAACACAATGAAACCCCATCTCCACTAAAAATACAAAAAATTAGCCGGTTGTGGTGGCAGGCGCCTGTAGTCCCAGTTATTCGGGTGGCTGAGGCAGGAGAATGGTGTGAACCAGGAAGGCGGAGCTTACAGTGAGCCGAGATCGTGTCACTGCACTCCAGCCTGGGCGACAGAGCGAGACTCTGTCTAAAAAAAAAAAAATTAGCTGGGCGTGGTGGCAGGCACCTGTAATCCTAGCTACTCAGGAGGCTGAGGTGGGAGAATCGCTGTAACCTGGGAGGTGGAGGTTGAGAGAGCCAAGATCACACCACTGCACTCCAGCCTGGGTGACAGAGTAAGACTGTCTCAATTAAAAAAAAAAAGAAGGCTTCACCTGAATAGGCCCACTTGAAGCAACTAAAGCAAAAAAGAAACTCAAACCACTCCAAGGGATGTGAGATTATTTCTTTCTTTTTTTTTTTTTTTTTAATTTTTTTTTTTTGAAACAGAGTCTTGCTCTGTTTTCCAGGCTAGAATGCATTGGCATGATCACAGCTCACTGCAGCCTTGACCTCCTGGGCTGAAGCAATCCTCCAACTTCAGCCTCCCCAGTAGCTGGGACCACAGGCACATGCCACCACGCCTGGCTACATTTTTTTTGTTTTTTAGGGATGAGGGTCTCACTATGTTGCCCATGCAGAAGGTTCCTTTTTTGTGATTTTCCATATGGCAAGCAGCCAAAACTACTAGGCTATCCATAAAACTGGACTGTCAGGATGTGGCTAAAGCTCACCTGACCAGAGAAATTGTCTGGCCCTGGAACAATACATCCATCTCATCCCAATGGTGGCCAACTGGAACAGTCTGTCAGGCATGATATTACACAATGGTCTGAAGCCCTATTCCTTGCTTCACAAAGAAAGCACCAATAATAAAACCCCATGAATACTATTACCATGTACTGAGCCTATTACTCAATACTAGGTGTCTACTGCTTTTTCATCTTGCTTAATTTTCACAGTAAAATCAGGGTAGGTTATTATTCTTATTTAACAGTTGAGAAAACCAAGGCTCAGAGACAGGTGAAAGAATTTGCCCCAGGTCATATAACAAATGAGTAGGAGAGCCTGCATTTCTAACTCCAAAGCCCATGCTCACAACCCTTACCCTCTAAATATTTGATTATGAGTGCGTTCATACACCCCCACACACAAAATTATATACTCCTTAAGAGCTAGGAGTTTATTTTTGTTCTATAAAATCCTTAAGAGCTAGGAATCTTTTTTTGTTTATCATCACAAAGCACAGGGACTTATGCTGAGTGGATATCAGCACATTTTGGTGAATGCATTCCTAGTACTATTGCATTTGTACTCTTATTTATTTATTTATTTATTTTGAGACAGAGTCTCGTTCTGTTGCCCAGGCTGGAGTGCAGTGGCATGATCTTAGCTCACTGCAACCTCTGCTTCCCAGGTTCAAGTGATTCTCCTGCCTCAGCCTCCTGAGTAGTTGGGATTACAGGTGTTCACCACCACGCCCGCACTCACTTTTGTATTTTTAGTAGAGACGGGGTTTTACCATGTTGGCCAGGCTCATCGTGGGCTTCTGACCTCTAGTGATCCGCCAGCCTCAGCTTTCCAAAGTGCTGGGATTACAGGCATGAGCCACCACACCCAGCTGCAATTGTACTATTAATTAACTTTTTTATGTATTTATTTTTTAGAGACGAGATCTTGCTCTGTCACCCAGGCTGGAGTGCAGTGGCACAATCATAGCTCACTGCAGTCTCAAACTCCTGGCCTCAAGAGATCCTCCCACCTCAGCCTCCTGTGTAGCTGCTATTGCATCAGTATTATAATGTATACATAATATTATTAATAGATCAATATAAATATCCATTGCCATAACACCACTGTTGGCTTTCCTATTCACTACTATTGGTCATTTGGGCTATTTCTAATTTTTACTTTGTGTGTGTGTGTTTTGCTTGTTTTTTTTTAAGATGGAGTCTCGCTCTGTCGCCCAGGCTGGAGTGCAATGGCATGATCTCAGCTCACTGCAACCTCCACCTCCCGGGTTCAAGTGATTCTCTTGTCTCAGACTCCTGAGTAGCTGGGATTACAGGCGCACGGCACCACGCCTGGTTAATTTTTGTATTTTTAGTAGAGACGGGGTTTCACCATGTTGGTCAGGCTGGTCTTGAACTCTCGATTTTGTGATCCGCCCACCTCAGCCTCCCAAAGTGCTGGGATTACAGGCGTGAGCCACCACACCTGGCCTAATTTTTAGTTTTTTAATATACAGTACAGTAATTTGCTCTTACTGGAACATGGAATGGGAAAGAAAAGTGGAAGATGAACCTAATGAAAGAAAAATAACACGCTGCATCTTTCATGAGACTCCAGGATAAATCCAGTTAAATGATATGCTAATTACACAGAATAGAGAAACAATTCTGGAATTATAATAATAAAATTACTAGCCTTTTCTAGTAAATGTAAGTACCACAATTTTCAATAGAAAAACACATTTAATATAGTGTGTAAAATACACAGTACCCCACCCCCAACCTAGGTTAGATTCAAAAAATGTTCAAAATTGAGTATAAGAATACGAATGACATTCTAACTTGGCCAGGCACGGCAGTTCACACCTGTAATCCCAGCACTTTGGGAGTCCAAGGCAGGAGGATCGCTTGAGTCCAGAAGTTTGAGACCAGCCTGGGCAACACATAGTGAGACCCCGTCTCTGAAAAAAAACAAATTAAAAACAAACAAACAAACAAAAAGCAAATGGAAGAGTATCAGAATTCTATAATTTAGTGGAAAAAAACATGTGGCTATCTTTTAGCAAAATGAATTTGGTTAATAATGTAACAGAAGTGTGTGTGTATATATCACTTTAGGACTGTGGTTTCTAGTTAAAATTTTAAAATTTGCTCTCCCAAGTTCTTTTATTGAATAACTCTCAAGTACCCTCTGGTGGATGAGATGAGGAATACTTTGGTACCAGAGGTGCCGTTTGTCACCTATTATGTGCCTAAAAGTAATCATAACCCACATCGTTAGGTTTACATAGATAAAGGATACAGGAATAACGATTAATTTTAAAGAAACACTTTAGATATTTATAGTCATAGCTAATGGCAAGGATTTACATTTATTTTCTGAGATGGGATCTCACTATGTTGCCCAGGCTGGAGTGCAGTGGTTTTCATGAGGGTGATCATAGCTCACGATAGCCTTGGATTCCTGGGCTCCTGCATCAGCCTCCTGAGTAGCTGGGACTATAAGTGTGCACCGCCATGGCTGGCTAAAGTTTACTTTTATATTTATTAATATTAATAGATATTAATATTATCTATTATATTATTAATATTATATTATTAAAATAAATTGACAAGCCAAAATATGTTAATATTAGATAATTAATAATCAATTATTAGATAATAATATTAATATTATATGTTATATTTTTGGCTTGTCAATTTATTTTAAATAACTGCTATCGGAAATTTCCCTTTTACTACTATCTTTGGAGTAAAAAATTAATATGATGGTTTTAGTCACCTTAAATAGGTCATTAAACATCTTTTCAAAGAACCCATAGGTAGGTTAAAGAAAAATATTAACTTTCACTCAAATGTAAATAATTTAAAAGGCCCCCTCCCCCTCCCCCTCCCCCTCTCCCCACTGTCTCCCTCTGATGCCGAGCCAAAGCTGGACTGTACTGCTGCCATCTCGGCTCACTGCAACCTCCCTGCCTGATTCTCCTGCCTCAGCCTGCCGTGTGCCTGCAATTGCAGGCGCGCGCTGCCACGCCTGACTGGTTTTCGTATTTTTTTGGTGGAGACGGGGTTTCGCTGTGTTGGCCGGGCTGGTCTCCAGCTCCTAACCGCAAGTGATCCGCCAACCTCGGCCTCCCGAGGTGCCGGGATTGCAGACGGAGTCTGGTTCACTCAGTGCTCAATGGTGCCCAGGCTGGAGTGCAGTGGCTTGATCTCGGCTCGCTACAACCTCCACCTCCCAGCCGCCTGCCTTGGCCTCCCAAAGTGCCAAGAGTGCAGCCTCTGCCCGGCCGCCACCCCGTCTGGGAAGTGAGGAGTGTCTCTGCCTGGCTGCCCATTGTCTGGGACGTGAGGAGCCTCTCTGCCTGGCTGCCCAGTCCTCACTTCCTGGCCATCCCATCTAGGAAGTGAGGAGCGTCTCTGCCCGGCCGCCCATCGTCTGAGATGTGGGGAGCGCCTCTGCCCGGCCGCGACCCCATCTGGGAGGTGAGGAGCGTCTCTGCCCAGCCGCCCCGTCTGAGAAGTGAGGAGACCCTCCGCCTGGCAACCACCCCGTCTGAGAAGTGAGGAGCCCCTCCGCCCAGCAGCCACCCTGTCTGGGAAGTGAGGAGCGTCTCCGCCCGGCAGCCACCCCGTCCGGGAGGGAGGTGGGGGTCAGCCCCCGCCAGGCCAGCCACCCCGTCCGGGAGGGAGGTGGGGGGGGTCAGCCCCCCGGCCCGGGCCAGCCGCCCCGTCCGGGAGGTGAGGGGTGCCTCTGCCCGGCCGCCCCTACTGGGAAGTGAGGAGCCCCTCTGCCTGGCCACCACCCCGTCTGGGAGGTGTACCCAACAGCTCATTGCGAACGGGCCATGATGACAATGGCGGTTTTGTGGAGTGGAAAGGGGGGAAAGGTGGGGAAAAGATTGAGAAATCGGATGGTTGCCGTGTCTGTGTAGAAAGAAGTAGACATGGGAGACTTTTCATTTTGTTCTGTACTAAGAAAAATTATTCTGCCTTGGGATCCTGTTGATCTGTGACCTTACCCCCAACCCTGTGCGCTCTGAAACATGTGCTGTGTCCACTCAGGGTTAAATGGATTAAGGGTGGTGCAAGATGTGCTTTGTTAAACAGATGCTTGAAGGCAGCATGCTCGTTAAGAGTCATCACTACTCCCTAATCTCAAGTACCCAGGGACACAAACACTGCGGAGGGCCCCAGGGTCCTCTGCCTAGGAAAACCAGAGACCTTTGTTCACTTGTTTATCTGCTGACCTTCCCTCCACTATTGTCCTAGGACCCTGCCAAATCCCCCTCTGCGAGAAACACCCAAGAATGATCAATAAAAAAATAAACTAAAAAAAAAATAATTTAAAAGGCAACAACATAACCTAGCTATAATTTCTGCTTTAAGGAAACCTAAAAATGACAAACAGAAAGTCAGCATTTTTCAAAATATGTGCTGTGAGATACTAGTTCCCGGATGTGCTGGAGGGGGAGTAAGAGAAGGGTACCCTCTTAGTTGAGAGAAATTTCAGAAGATTAATTTCCTCCCTTTGTTTTGTTTCCACACTCAGATCGTAAGTTTCTGATAATTTGCTTTTTGTGCTACTTGCTCATGGGAAGAGCATGTCCTGGGCCACACGACACAAGCTTTCCAGGCTTTTGCTTCACAGCTCAAGTTAGCCTTGTGAAGCTAAATGTCAGCATTCATGGCTAGGCATGGTGGCTCATACCTGTAATCCCAGCACTTTGGGAGACCGAGGCAGGCGGACCACTTGAGGTCAGGAGTTCGAGACCAGACTGGCCAACATGGCGAAACCCTGTCTCTACCAAAAATTTAAAAATTAGCCAGGCATGGTGGCACATGCCTGTAGTCCCAGCTACTCGGGAGGCTGAGGCACAAGAATCACTTGAACACAGTAGGCAGAGGTTACAGTGAGCCAAGATGGCACCACTGCACTTCAGCCTGGGTGACAAAGCAAGACCATGTCTCAAAAAATAAATAAATAAAAAATAAATGTCAGCACTTATACTTATATAAAAACATATGCGTATGTTCTTGTATACATATAGTGATTTAGCTGAGTAGTTAATTTAGTCATAGCAAATACGCTTAACACTTTACATAGCAAATATGCATAACAAATACGCTTAACACTTTTTCTTCTTTAAGTGGAAGGGCCATAGTGGGGGGACTTTCACCTTCAAAGCTACACTTTCTCTAATATTTGAAATTTTTACAATAGCATGTTTAATGTATATAACCTAAATATATACATATATTTAAGTTACCATATTCAATTGTAGAATTTGAGAGGTAAAAAATATTTTCCCAAAAATGTTCCCAAATGCATCTCTCAAGCTTCCACATGCCCAGACTGGCAGAAAATCCAATTTTCCTAAGCACAGCCCACCTACCTCCTTCTCTGCAAAACTCCCCTGCCTCTGCTTGTATTCAAAGCACAAGCCCTGGCTGAATGTGCTTGCCAAGTCCCTAGAATTGAAGCTTAGAGCGCCCCCTTGAGCCTTGAGGGGCATCCACAGTGCTGCCCAGCTCTTATTCTTTAATATGCAACCGACGAACGTTGACTTGGTGTAAGAGACCCTCTTGTCAATGCTGCTGCTGTTGCTCCTCCCAGTGACCTTAGAGTTCTTTTTAGAAATAGTTTCTCTCACTGAAAAATATAAAAGTCATCTTCACCAGACTCTAAGCTTTTCTTTTTTTTTTTTTCGAGACAAGTTCTCTCTCCGTCACCCAGGCTGGAGTGCCATGGCACAATCTCAGCTCACTGTAACCTCCGCCTCCCGGGCTCAAGCGATCCTCTCACTTCAGCCTCCCCACCCACCCCCCACCCCCCGGGTAGCTGGCACTAGAGGCATGCGCCACCATGCCCGGCTAGTTTTTTGTGTGTTTTTGTTTTTATTTTTTGAGACAAGGTTTTACCATGTCACCCAGGCTGGTCTTGAACTTTTAGACTCAAGCGATCCACCCCCCTCAGCCTCCCAAAGTGCTGGGATTACAGGAATGAGCCACCATGCCCGGCCTTATGTATTATTTGTTTAAACTTCACAACATACCTCGATGATAGGTGCTATTCTTCCCATTTTATAGATGAGAAGACTGAGATTTGGAGAGCTTAAATAAGGGGTTTAAGGAGACATTGCATGAATGCTCAACTTCTTGGACAAATAGGACATGAAACTCATATGGAGGTGATTCTGTCAAAAGCATCTACGCAAGGGCTCTGCAGTCTACACCTAGGATGGGCTAAGCCCAGGTTTTCCACACTAGGATGTGTGGACTTTCTGGAATAAGCAGAATCCTGTAGGTACTGATACGGTAAGTAAACACAGTGTATCATCTAAGAGTATGTATTAGTCCATTTTCGCCCTGCTATAAAGACATATCCAAAAGTGGATACTTTATAAAGAAAGGAGGTTTAATTGACACACAGTTCTGCATGGATGGAGAGGCCTTAGGAAACCTACAATCATGGCAGAAAGCCAAGGGGAAGCAAGGCATGTCTTACATGGCAGCAGGTGAGAAAGAGAAGACAGGGGAAACTGCCAAACACTTTCAAAGCTTCAGATCTCATGAAAACTTACACACACCGTCACAAGAACATCACAGGAGAAACCACTCCCATGATCCAATCACCTCCCACCAGATCCCTGCCTTGACATATGGGAATTACAGTTTGAGATGAGATTTGGGTGGGGACACAGAGCCAAACCATATCAGAGTATCAGTTTTCCTTCAAGGTTTTTTGGGGTAAATGTTATTTTATAGTAAGACCAATGGATATATTAAGGAGCATAAATGAAACATTTTAAAATACTTTGAGATAAAAAGGCAAAAAGATAAAACTAAAGCCATCCCGTTGGTGAAAGATTGCATCACAAAATCCTCTAGGACAATGCTTCTCATGCTTTCACGTGCAGATGTCTCTCCTGTAGGCAGGGCCAGCTCCATGGGTGTGAGGCCTGTGGAGTCGCACCTACACTTGCAGATCCTGACTCAGCATGGCTAGGCTAAGGCTGCGATTCTGCAGTTCTAACGAGCTCCCACGTAATACCTGTTGTTGGTCCAAAGACCACACGTTGAGTGGCAAGACCCAGCCCTTCTCTCTATACCTCTGTTTGTTAACACTTAACCAGGAAAGTTTAAGAAGCAGTAGAGAAGGAGGGCAGTGAATCACAGCAGTCAAAATAATATAGTGAAAAGCGTGGGTCTTTACCACTACTTACTCTGTAAAATACTGAGAGGTGACAGCGTGCTGGCAGTCCTCAGAGCCCTCGCTTGCTCTCGGCACCTCCCCTGCCTGGGCTCCCACTTTGGTGGCACTTGAGGAGCCCTTCAGCCCCCCACTGCACTGTGGGAGCCCCTTTCTGGGCTGGCCAAGGCCGGAGCCCACTCCCTCAGCTTGAAGGGAGGTGTGGAGGGAGAGGCACGAGCCGGAACCGGGGCTGCGTGCGGCGCTTGCGGGCCAGCTGGAGTTCCGGGTGGGCGTGGGCTTGGCTGGCCCCGCACTCGGAGCAGCCAGCCAGCCCTGCTGGCCCCGGACAATGGGGTACTTAGCACCCGGGCCAGTGGCTGCGGAGGGTGTACTGGGTCCCCCAGCAGTGCTGGCCCACCGGCGCTGCGCTCGATTTCTTGCCGGGCCTTAGCTGCCTTCCCGCCGGGCAGGACTAGGGACCTGCAGCCCGCCATGCCTGAGCCTCCCACCCCCTCCATGGGCTCCGGTGCGGCCCGAGCCTCGCGGACGAGCACCACCCCCTGCTCCAGGCGCCCCGTCCCATCGACCACCCAAGGGCTAAGGAATGCGAGCGCACGGCGCAGGACTGGCAGGCAGCTCCACCTGCAGCCCCGGTGCGGGATCCACTAGGTGAAGCCAGCTGGGCTCCTGAGTCTGGTGGGGACGTGGAGAGTCTTTATATCTAGCTCAGGGATTGTAAATACACCAATCAGCACCCTGTGTTTAGCTCAAGGTTTGTGAGTGCACCAATCGAC
Organism: Homo sapiens; assembly: GCF_000001405.40. Lineage (NCBI taxonomy): Eukaryota > Metazoa > Chordata > Mammalia > Primates > Hominidae > Homo > Homo sapiens. Next base: position 33,990,668 of record NC_000011.10, read on the forward strand.
ACTCTGTATCTAGCTGCTCTGGTGAGGACGTGGTGAGTCTTTATATCTAGCTCAGGGATTGTAAATACACCAATCAGCACCCTGTGTTTAGCTCAAGGTTTGTGAGTGCACCAATCGACACTCTGTATCTAGCTGCTCTGGTGAGGACGTGGAGAGTCTTTATGTCTAGCTCAAGGATTGTAAATACACCAATCGGCACTCTGTATCTACCTCAAGGTTTGTAAACACACCAATCAGCACCCTGTGTTTAGCTCAAGGTTTGTGAATGTACCAATCGACACTCTGTATCTAGCTGCTCTGGTGGGGCCTTGGAGAACCTGTGTGTCGAAACTCTGTATCTAACTAATCTGATGGGGACGTGGAGAACCTTTGTATCTAGCTCAGGGATTGTAAATGCACCAATCAGCGCCCTGACAAAACAGGCCACTTGGCTCTACCAATCAGCAGGATGTGGGTGGGGCCAGATAAGAGAATAAAAGCAGGCTGCCCGAGCCAGCATTGGTAACCTGCTCAGGTTTTCTTCCACACTGTGGAAGCTTTGTTCTTTGCAATAAATCTTGCTACTGCTCACTCTTTGGGTGCATGCTGCTTTTATGAGCTGTAACACTCACCGCGAAGATCTGCAGCTTCACTCCTGAGCCCAGCAAGACCACAAGCCCACCGGAAGGAATAAACAACTCCAGACACGCTGCTTTAAGAGCTGTGACACTCACTGCGAAGGTCTGCAGCTTCACTCCTGAGCCAGCGAGACCACGAACCCCCCAGAAGGAAGAAACTCCGAACACATCTGAACATCAGAAGGGATAGACTCCAGACGCACCACCTTAAGAGCTGTAACACTCACCGCGAGTGTCTGCGGCTTCATTCTTGGAGTCAGTGAGGCCAAGAACCCCACAATTCTGGACACAATACCACAGATTGCTTTTCTCCTGATGGCTCAGTTTCCTCCTCTGTAAAATGAGAATAACAGTCACCTTGTAGAATAGCTGTGTGGGTTAAATGTGTGTAAAGCATTTCACATTCAGTGTTCAGTAAAGACAGCTACTTTCAAGCTTTAAATGGTAACTAAACATAAGACCATGGTGGAAAAGAAAACATTCAGGATGCTTCTTTCTTCATGTTAATTGTGTTTCCCATTTTCCAGTCTCTCCTCCTTGCACCTAGGAAAAAACACTCTTGGAGACAGCAGTTCTGTAAAGGAAATATCATAGGACCTGCTTATTTTTTATTATTTTTTTTTTTTGAGAGAGAGTCTTGCTGTGTCACCCATGCTGGAGTGCAATCTTGGCTCACTGCAACCTCCGCCTCCAGGTTTCAAGCGATTCTTCTGCCTCAGCCTCCCAAGTAACTGGAATTATAAGTGCATGCCACCACACCCAGGTGATTTTCATATTTTTTTAGTAGAGACAGGATTTCACCATGTTGGCAAGGCTGGTCTCAAACTCCTGATCTCAAGTGATCCACCTGCCTCGGCCTCCCGAAGTGCTGGGATTACAGGCATGATCCACTGCACCCAGCCAGGACCAACTTATTCTTTATGCAAAACTATTTTGTTGATTTCATGGGAAATATTATTAGTAACAAGAGCTATAAATACAAGATTAGTTTACTAGGGTTGTCATAACAAAGTAGCACAGAGTAGATGGTTTAAACAACAGAAATCTGTTTCCTTGCAGTTCTAGAGGATAAATGGTCAAACTCAAGTCATTGGCAGGTTTGGTTTCAGGCTAAGGCCTCTTTCCTTGGCTCATAAATGGTGGTTTTCTTAGTTCAAGCTGCTATAACAAATTACCATAACTGGTTGGTGTGAACAACAAACATTTATTTCTCACAATTCTGGAGGCTGGCAAGTCCAAGATCATGGCACTAGCAGACCCAGTGTCTGGTGAGGGCATGCTTCCTGGTTTACAGGTGGTTACCTTCTCATTATATCCTCACATGGCAGAAAGCAGACAGAGAGAAAGCTAGCTTTGTCTTCTTATAGGAGCACCAGTCCCAGCACGAGAGCTCCATGCTTACAATTGAATTACCTGCAAGAGTTCCCCCACCTAATGCCATCCCAGGAGGGGTTAGGGTCCAATATAAGAATCTGAGGGGAGGCCGGGGGCAGTGCCTCACACCTGTAATCCCAGCAATTTGAGAGGCCAAGGCCAGGGGATTGCTTGAGCCCAGGAGTTCAAAACCAGCCTGGGCAACATAGCAAGACCCCATCCCTACAAAACAATTTTTAAAATAGCTGGGCATGGTAGTGCATGCCTGTAGTACCATCTACTTGGGAGGCTGGGGTAGGAGGATCACTGGAGCCTAGGAGGTCGAGGTTGCAGTGAGCTGTGACCATGCCACTGTACTCCAGCCTGGGAAACAGAGTGAGACCTTATATCAAACAAACAAACAAACAAAAACAAAAAAAAACTTTGGGGCAAACGCAAACATGCAGTTTATAACAGTCGTTTTCTTCTTACAACTTCACATGGTCTTCCCTCCATGCACGTCTGTGTCCTAATCTCCTTTTCTTTTCTTTTCTTTTCTTTTCTTTTCTTTTCTTTTCTTTTCTTTTGTTTTTTTGAGATGGAGTCTCACTCTATCGCCCAGGCTGGAGTTCAGTGATGCAATCTTGGCTCACTGCAGCCACCACTTACTGGTTCAAGCAATTCTCCTGCCTCAGCCTCCTGAGTAGCTGGGACTACAGGTGCCCGCCACCACACCCGGCTAATTTTTGTATTTTTAGTAGAGACAGGGTTTCACCATGTTGGTCAAGCTATTCTGACCTCAGGTGATCCACCAGCCTCCACCTCCCCAATTGCTGGGATTACAGGCGTGAGCCACCACGCCCAGCCGAACCTAATCTCCTCTTCTTATGAAGACAGCAGCCATTGGATTAGGGCCCATACGTATGGCCTCATTTTACCTTAATTACCTCTTTAAAGACCCTATCTCCAAATACAGTCACATTGTTCAGTACTGGGGTTTAGGACTTCAACATAGGAATTGGGAGGGAGAAGCACACAATTCAGCCCATAACAAACACAGAGGACAAACCCAAACATAAATAATATCAGTGAGTTAATATGAAACCCATCCTTGATTTTTGCATTCTTTGCAATATATCCTTTATTCTTTTTTTTTTTTTTTTTTTTTTGAGACGGAGTCTCGCTGTCGCCCAGGCTGGAGTGCAGTGGCGCAATCTCGGCTCACTGCAAGCTCCGCCCCCTGGGGTTCACGCCATTCTCCTGCCTCAGCCTCCCGAGTAGCTGGGACTACAGGCGCCCGCCACCTCGCCCGGCTAATTTTTTGTATTTTTAGTAGAGACGGGGTTTCACCGTGTTAGCCAGGATGGTCTCGATCTCCTGACCTCGTGATCCGCCCGCCTCGGCCTCCCAAAGTGCTGGGATTACAGGCGTGAGCCACCGCGCCCGGCCTATATCCTTTATTCTTAAGTGAATATTATTCATTGAGGATGGGGGCTCTTTCCATGGAAGTGAGGCAGCATGTGTGAGAGTTTTCAGTCCAACAGAACTTATTTTGATTTGCTTCTCTGCTATGGACCACTGAAAACTTGGGCAATTACTTTGTGCCACTAAGCCTTAGTATTCTTAACTATATGAGAATAACAATAATGCCTACTTCACAGAATTACTGTGAAGATTATATGAGATAATCTGTGTGTAACAAATTTTTTTTTCTTTCTTATTCAGCAAAAGAAGCTGCCAGCAGTTTAATATAGATTACCTTTGTTCTTGTTTTGAGACAGGGTCTCACTGTGTCACCCAGGCTGGAGTACAGTGGCTCTATCTTGACTCACTGCAACCTTCACCTGCCAGGCTCAGGTGCTCCTCTTGCTTCAGCCTCCTGAGTAGCTGGGATTACAGGTGCGTGCCACCATATCCAGCTAATTTTTGTATTTTTTGTAGAGACAGGAGTCTTGCCCTGTTGCCCAGCCTGGTCTAGAACTCCCAAGCTCAAGTGATCTGCCCACCTGGGCCTCCCAAAGTGCTGAGATTACAGGCATGAGCCACCTCACCCGGCCTGTAGATTACCTTTAAATATATCTTTTTTATTATTATTATTTTGTATTTTTTTGCTCACTCCATCACCCAGGCTGGAGTGCAGTGGCGCAATCTCAACTCACTGCAACCTCCACCTCCCAGGTTCAAGCCATTCTCTTGCCTCAGCCTCCCGAGTAGTTGAGACTACAGGCACGTGCCACCACGCCCAGCTAATTTTTGTATTTTTAGTAGACACGGGGTTTCACCATGTTGGTGGTCTCGAACTTCTGACCTCAAGTGATCTGCCTGCCTCAGCCTCTCAAATTGCTGGGATTACAGGCATGAGCCACTGCGCCTGACCTGAAGATATCTTTAGAGTCTTCCTTCCTTAAATGTGGAGGCCAAAGCAATGCCGTCCTGGAGTTGACTCCATGTTGCACCATGTTGACTTCTGATTAACTCCAGTTCCAGGAACATCTCTAAAATATTGTTTATCTATTGTTCTTTGTGTGAGAGCATCTACTTACTATAAATCCTGCCCTTAGGTCAAAACAACTTTGTTGATTCATGAGTAAATCATGTGGCTAAGTTAAATCAAACCTCTCTTTTGCCTGAAATAGCCAGAAAATAAAATGTGAATTTGACTATGAGGTTTTCTTAAATTGGCCTAGTAATTTTGAATGTATTACAAGAATTGAAAAAAAGGAGACACTGTCATTTCAAAGAGTTCTTCTCTTAAGATGTAATATGAAAATATCTAACAATCTTGATTTTGCTTCCTAATTGTTCTTGTATTGATACATGACATTTGTACATATTTATGGGTTACATGTGATGTTTTGCTACATGCATGCAATGTGTAATGATCAAATCAGGGTATTTAGCATATCTATCACCTTGAAATGTATCATTTCTTTGTATTGGGAACATTTCAAATCTTCTAGCTCTTTTGAAATATAAAATGGATTATTATTAACTATTTTAAAAAACAACCTTGATGTTATTGTACTTCATTTGTCCTACATATCTTTTCTGAAGCACGAACACCCTTTCCCTGAGTACATAAGCCCTGGGTCTGGAGGGTGATGACCCAGGGATCCACCATTTTGTCTAACCGACACCCAAGACACAGACATGGCTTCTGTTGGCAAGTCCCTACTAAATATTTCTTTTTTTTTTTTTTTCTTTTTTTGAGACAGAGTCTCACTCTGTGGTCCAGGCTGGAGTGCAGTGGCACGATCTCGGCTCACTGCTACCTCTGCCTCCCGAGTTCAAGCGATTCTCCTGCCTCAGTCTCCCAAGTAGCTGGGATTACAGGTGCGCACCACCATGGCCCACTAATTTTTGTATTTTTGGTAGAGATGGGGTTTCAACGTGTTGGTCAGTCTGGTCTTGAAATCCTGACATCAGGTGATCCGCCTGCATCAGCCTCCCAAAGTGCTGGAATTACAGGCGTGAGCCACCATGCCCAGCCCTAAATGTTTCTTTCTAAGGAACTGGATTTGTCAGCCTCTTTCTTCAGCCTCTCCAAGTTTCTTTGGACTTTGGGGGATGAAGTCGCATAGACCTGTCCACCAAGGAACACCAAGGAAACATCTAGGGGCCTGACGCTTAACTGAGTGAAGGAGGTTCCCTTCAGTAGGGAGTTAGGGGCAAGTTTGCAGAGTGAGCCCAGGGATCTTCGGGTGAGGACAACTAACCCCTTTCCCCAGTCTCAAACCTTCTCCCTGGGATTTGGAGTTAGATATATTGAGGCGAATGTGGGCAACCCAGAAAGAATCCAGAGACAGGAGAAGGCAACAAACAAGTCCAAGTGGGTAAAGAGATACAGACCATGTGGCCATCCTTGGCAATAAACCAGAGGAAGAGTGTAGATGGTGATTTTGTGTTCTTTAAGTCCTGGATGCTGGAATTGGCTCTGGTCTATCTCTTAAGACCTTGAATTTGCAAAATAAGCTTATTACATTAGTAATCAAACCCTGGAGTCTCGGCTTAGCAATGACAAGAGGCCTCTGCAGAGCACAGGCATCCCCTTTCCCTGAACTGGGGAGCTGAGGCCCCACCTCTGCACTTTGCTCTGGCTCCTTCTCAGTTGAAGGGTTGGGGTGCACATCCGCACCGGATCTGCTGTTTCTCCCCACCTGGAGCTGCATGAAGGAATTAAATATAAACCTTGGACGTTTGGGCTGTGAGCTGCCTCCGTGAGCGTAACCCCAAGGGAATTGCAACCCATCCTCGGATCTCCCTACCCCCATCTGCGGCAGATTCCACTCTAGCAACAATGGTTGCTCCAGTAGCAGAGAACCGGGGCCTGGATTTGGCCACTGCCCGCCACGCCACGGCCAGCTTCTGCAGCACTCAGGCCCTTCGCTGCAGTCAACCCACTGAAATAGGTCCAAACAGTCTGAGCTTCACCTCGAGACACCTGTCAGGGCTCTTCGGCCCTAGGACACCTAAAGGCAAGGAGGATGGAGCCCCGCGGACAGGGTGATTGAACTTCTGAACTTCCAGCTCTTACCAGCAGGTGGAACCCCAAACAATGCAGTTCCAGAACAGACTGAGAACGTTGTATCCAGTAAGAGCACACAGCGCCGTCTCTAACACGCGGTAACCACCTTTAAAAATGAGTAGTTATTACGGGAAAGGTAATTATTCACGTAACAACTTCCTCTCCCCCTCACTATTTTATTTTTGCAAAATGGAAAGAAGAGAAGGAATTTCTCCCTGTTAGCAGAAGAATGAAACTCTAGTCCGGAATATGATTTTTTTCCTTAACCTTAAAGGATTGTGCAGAGGAAATGAAAAGTCCTAAAGTACCCTCCCTTTTACTTTCTCACCTCTCCTGCTACCCCTACTCCTTAAATTTCAGTTGCCTACTATAGCTATAACCATAGCAACCCAGCTGGTGGGAAATTATGGAAACTCCTACTCATTCTCCTAGATTCAGGTAAGTCTTCACCTTATCTGGGAAGGCTCCACCAGTCTCCACTTTGGCATCAGAAGAGACTATCTCACTGTTATCATGACATGGACATCCCGTGCATGCCTGTATTTGAACACTTGTCTCATTGTTTCAGAACTCTGTTGGCCTCCTTCATTACAGAATGATCTACTTGTTCATATTTGCATCCCTGGTGCAAATGTGTGGATTAGTGCCTGGCACATAGAAGCTGCTTAGTGCATTTCCCACTCGTCAATGCCAGAAACTGAAAGGAGGAGGGGTGGAGACTGTATGGCATTAGGATGGGAGGGGGAGGGGAATGAAGTGGAGTCAGAGTGGCCTAAGGGGCCCTGGCAAGACAGCCACGGAGGAGATAGGAATCATGCCCTTAGCCAGGAAAGCTGTGCCTGGAACGCAGGCTGTCCAGGGGAGCAGAGAGGGATAAGAAACTGGAGAAAAGCAGTGAAGATAGCAACCTGAGAGTATGGGGGTGGCAGGGCAGGGAGAAGTTGAAGTTCAGATCAGTCCACAGCCTTTGAAATGGGTTAGGGCAAGAGGTTCAAGACTGAGACCTGGTGAGGCCGAGTGTGGTGACTCATGCCTGTAATCCCAGCTCTTTGGGAGGCCAAGGCGGGCGGATCACTTAAGGTCAGGAGTTCGAGACCAGCCTAGCCAACATAGTGAAACCTCATTGCTAGTAAAAATACAAAAATTAGCCAGGCATAGTGGCACACGCCTGTAATCCCAGCTACTTGGGAGGCTGAGGCAAGAAAATCACTTGAATCCAGGAGGCGGAGGTTGCAGTGAGCCGAGATCGTGCCACTGCACTCCAGCCTGGGCAACAGAGCGAGATTCTCCATCTCAAAACAAACAAACAAACAAACAAAAAACAAAACTGAGACCTGGTGAAAGGGGGCTGCAGAACTTTTTAAAATGGTGTTAACTATATAGTGGAGGGGGAGATGGAGTCTGGCAGAACTGAACAGTGAAATCAGGGGAAAAAATACCTGTCCTCAATTCCTCTTCTAGTGGCTCAGGGAGGTGGGAAAGAAACAGATCCAGTATGAATACCTTGTAATCACACCTTTAACCTTTTAAACTGCTAAACGACACACATCATTTTATTTAAAAGCAATATGGACTGCTGGCCAAGCCGAGCTTGGTTCAAATCCAGCTCTTCCACTTATTAGCTATGCGAATTTAGATGTCATCTCAAGTCTCTGAGCTTCAATATATCCTACAAATAAAGGATATTAAAACCTTCCTCAAAAGACTAATGAGAAAATTTAACATAATGCATGTAAAGTGCTTAGCACAGGGCCTGACACAGGGAGACACTTAGCACTTATTCCATCCTTGGTCTGGTTCTTTTTTTTTTTTTTTTTTTTTTTTTTGAGACGGAGTCTCGCTCTGTTGTCCAGGCTGGAGTGCAGTGGTGCAATCTCGGCTCTCTGCAAGCTCCGCCTCACGGGTTCAAGCGATTCTCCAGCTTCAGCCTCCAGAGTAGCTGTGATTACAGGCACCAGCCACCACGCCTGGCTAATTTTTGTATTTTTAGTAGAGACAGAGTTTCACATGTTGGCCAGGCTGGTCTCAAGCTCCTGACCTCAAGTGATCCGCCTGCCTCAGCCTCCCAAAGTGCTGGGATTACAAGTGTGAGCCTCCATGCCCGGCTGGTTCTTTCCTTCCAGTGCCAGCCAAGAATGTGTTGTCCAAATGGTTCTTCCTGAATCCATCTAAATTGCACTAAATCTTATCATGATTTGTTTTTCAAATGGGGGGTGGAGGTTGAGTGCTCA